>NC_000003.12:168099513-168251028 GCF_000001405.40 Homo sapiens
TTTATGCCTTGTTTACATCTGTCACTACGTTGCCACCTTTGTAATTTTCAACTATATCTGAAGAGGAGGGCAGAGGAGAAAGTAGATGATTTGTTCTTATTTATAAAAATGCTTTTCAATGAGAGAAACCTTACCATCAATATCACTAAGAAATACCTTCTGAGGCCGGGTGCGGTGGCTCACGCCTGTAATCCCAGCACTTTGGGAGGCTGAGGCAGGCGGATCACGAGGTCATGAGATCGAGACCATCCTGGCCAACATGGTGAAACCCTGTCTCTACTAAAAATACAAAAATTAGCTGGGCATGGTGGCGTGTGCCTGTAGTCCCAGCTGCTCGGGAGGCTGAGGCAGGAGAATCGCTTGAACCTGGGAGGCGGAGGTTGCAGTGAGCTGAGATTGCGCCATTGCACTCCAGCCTGGCAACAGAGCGAGACTCCATCTCAAAAAAAAAATAAATAAAATAAAATAAAAATAAATAAATACCTTTTGAATACAGACTACTAATAATGGACGTGATTTAGAAGTCCCTATTTGCCACAGGATGTGTAGCTAGTCTAAAGGAAGAGGAACTATCATTTCAAACCTCTAACAACATTCTAAAGCAGGATATCTAGCCAACCCTAAACTTTTCCAAATTCTAAGGCAGTATACGAAATCATTATGAATATGTTGCTTAATGTTTGTTACAGCTAGCATATAATGAGCTAACTACCACATTTTTTTTTCAGTTTAATTTCATAGGAAGTTAGAAAGAATGGAAAGGGAGCATATGTGAGCCTCAGAAGTGAACTTCCTAAATCTTCCAATGGCTCATCCAGCTTCTCACCAACTCACTGCCTTTAATAGTCAAAGACTTTAGATAAGCAGAGATACCACAGAAAAGATCAGTGGCCAGTAAAACATGACATTTTTTAATGTCCCCTCCCCCAAAATATTATAATTTATTGGATTGATTTTTATGAAAGCTATACTTAGTTTACTCATGACCATTTTATAAAATTGGCATTACAATTTTAATATGTTATAACATATAGTAATTTTTTAATTGTGATGAGGGTGGCTGGTCATATTTATAAAGTATCCAATGCCAAGTTCTGGGTCAGAAATTCAACGTTTAATTTTAGAATTATTCCTAAGGGAAATAATAATCTGCTTCATAAATGCTATTTAAACTATAGTTTTCAGGAATATTTTGAGTCAGAACAAAATGACTACCAATAATTTTAGTTAGAAATAAAGTGGAACAAATTTTCAAACAAAATATAAGAAGAATTGAGTTATCACAGCATTAAATTCTGCCCAAATTAAAATTGTGAAATGGAAACATTTGTCTTGGATCACTCTGCTCTCTAGTTCAACTCTTCAGCTCCTGGCATCCAAAATTTTAGTTATCCCCCTTGGTTTTCCAGAATCCTAGACTATGACTATGCCTTTCTCTCCCAACCTCACCCACTCATATACACAAACTTGGACTTGCCTTCTTCAAGACAAAGTAGCCTAATCTAAAATGACTCTTCCTTTCCTTTAGCTGCTTAATCAGAGGAAAGAAAACTGGGTATGTTAACTAACAGGAAGATATTAAAACTGAATTACTAACTTAGTCTTCTACCCAACAATTTTGAGAGAAACTATTAAATGAAAAGACTGAACTCCAATGGCATAATTCTAGACTGCCTGCAGAGTAGATAAGTGACAACTGTGGCTTGACTTTTTGCTAGTTTGTCCCTGATTCTCCTGCACAATTCTAACGAGCCTTAGAAGAATTTAGAAGATGACTCAAGATGTGTAGCATCAAGGCACAAATTCCATTGAAGTTACAAATGATCTTGAAGGTCAAGAGTAAGTAACTGTTAGGACCATTAATTCTTTCATCTGTAAAATGGAAAGGATAACCATAGCTCTCCTGCAATGCTCAGAGAAAATTGCCTAAGAAATTAATCCACAACACTTGAGAAGCGAAACTTCTCACTTTACGTAAAACTCAGTGCCGTAGTGGTACTTGTCATTGTCCACCTAAAATGGATTGGACCATTTGCTTACCTTCAGAAAGTTTCATACTTTTCAGAAAAACTACCATTTACTTTTTAAAATTAAGCTTCAGCTACCCAATTTAAAATGATAATTTTCCAATTATACTTGTCAAGCGAGCTTCTTTAGTTGCTGAGAAGGGGTAAATTATGATTGCAAAACAAAGAAATGTTCTTGTGACACATTCATTCAAGACTGACTTCTAATTCTTGGGTTGTAATTTATAACTAATTCTTAAATACAGTTTAAATCTCAACATTTTTAAAAATAGTTACTGTGTGCAAGGCACAGTGCAAGGACAGAGTGCAAGATGGGTGATGCAGTGATGAATAAACGAGGGATCCTCATTTCAAAGAGCTTGCGGACTTTGTATTAATTTGTTTAAAGACTATATTGAAGCTCTGGTTGGAAATTTAATTGCTCAGGGAAAGAGCAGAACAGGAAAAGAATAGGCCTAAGGATGCAATCAAGATATTTCTAGAGAAGGTGGCCTCTTGAGGTAATTGAGACAAGTGATCGGTTAATCAGTGAAGTCAGTTAAAGCCAAAAATTATAAAAGTGATGCAAAGACACCTTAAAACATATAAATGGGCCGTACGCAGTGGCTCATGCCTGTAATCCCAGCACTTTGGGAGGCCAAAGCGGGCAGACTGCTTGAGCCCAGGAATTGGAGACCAGCCTGAGCAACATTGCAAAACCCCGTATCTACAAAAAAATACAAAAATTAGCCAGGCATTGTGGTTCACACCTGTAATCCCAGCTACTCAGAACAATGAGACGGGAGGATCACTTGAACCAGGGAGGTCCAGGCTGCAGTGAGCCCTGATGGTGCCACTGCTCTTCAGCCTGGGTGACAGAGCGAGACCCTGTCTCAAAATAAATAAATAAGAATAAAAATAATAAAGAATAAAATAAGAAACATATCACTGTACTTTCACTGAATTCTCTTTTAATGTGGGACCCAAGGCCTCTGCTTTACGGGTGGACCTGTTGTTGGTTAGGGCTTAGGTTTGTCTTTTAGCCATAGAACACCATTCACAGTTTCCAGTTTCAGCTTCATTGAGTGGTGGATGGTAAGGTAATGTCAATGTAAAATACATCTAAATGTAAAGGATTTTTTTTTTCTTGGTCTTGGTGCTCACCTAATTTGACTGCAATTTTTCTTTAAGCTATCAGCCATCATGGAGCTTTTCCAAAGCATTCACCTTAATTTTCATAGAAATAACTCTTTTTTAGCCTCATATTTCTTAGTTTGCATAATATTTGGTTAAATTACATAATGAAAACAGCAAGAATTGCATAAACAGTCTTAGAATAAACCACTTGTCTCTGCTAAGCACACAGCTCAATTGACATGTACATACCTACTCGAGATTAGCTTATGTGCCAGTCTTCAGCCCTGAAGTGTGGAGGGGAAGGACAGGGAGGCTTCTGTTGATCTGATTTGCAGAGAAGAGGAGAGCCTCCTCTAATCGAGTGAGTTGCGTAAGTAACATTAATTGCTTCTACTATACATTCAAATGACTAGTAAGGTAACAGGAGGAATTGTTGGTCGAGAAAAATTATGTGAGAAAAGTGACCAGGAAACCAAAGGAATCCAGAAGAGAGTTCTTCAAGAGAGGGGAGTGTTACTGATAGGACTACTGAGAGGGCAAGTAAAATAAAGCCAAACAGGCCATAGAGTTAACAGAGTAGGGATGAGGTAGAAAATTGCAAGAGTATGGCAGATAAATGGGTAAAAGTAAATATGAAAAGAGGTGTGGTAAGGGTGAACTTTGGTGTTAATATGTTTGGCTGAGAAGGGAGATTAAATTGGGTGTAGCTTCAATAGAAGAAACCAGGTTAAAATAAAGTTTGCTTTTTGGTTTTGAGTCTTGGCTTCATTTGATTTTTGGTTTTTGGCTTGTTTGGATAGCATATACTTAACAGTGTTTGGAAAGGAACCAGTGGAGAGAGATAGGTTGAAGATGTGAAGAGTTACATTTAAGAATAGATTCTAAGAAGCAAAGAAGGGTCTGCCTCAGTCATTAGAATGTATGGACCATTATTTCTTATGGCAATATCCTATCACACAGTAGTTCATTTTCCATATTAAAGGCTCAATAAATTATTGAACAAATGATCTGAAGAGTTACTAAAAAGAAGGAATTTGAAAAGATTGCCTAGATAACTGAACAAGAAATTTGTTTGAGGGCCTAAGGTCTTGTGTGCTTGTATTAATTTACTTTGATTAAATGGGTACACTCAAAAAATGGGCATGAGTTTATAATAATATCCCCAATAGAGAATCTGCAAGACAATACCTATGCATAATATTTAAGAAGAGAAACTATTTCTTCTTTGAAAAGAGTAATTGGTCCATTAAAATTCTTTTTATGTTAATTGTTAGATGTGATGCTTACTAAGTAGTTTATGACATATGCAAATATTTCATAATGTTAAATGGATTTAGAATGTAAAGTGGTATAAACAATATAATCACAAGAATGTTAAAATATTTATAGAAAAACTTTTATTATATCTTACTACTTTTAGGTAATTAGATGAAGAGAGGGAAAAAAGGTGAGTATTTTTTAGTAACCCATGATAATCAATTTATTCTCTTCAGGATAATGATGCTTTCTACTCATTCGCAGTCTTTAACATTGTTGAGCATATCTGTGATCATAAGATCTGTTTTCTAAGAGGAGTGAGTTGATATCACACCATATCAAAGGAGGACAAGATCCCCAGCACTGGAACTGCCATTGCACACATTTCTCCCATCCTCTTTCTCTTCCATCAACTAAGTGTGCTTTCTAGTTGATCTCAGATGTGACTAGCATGATGTGTTGTATTTGTATTTCTTTTTGTTTGAGAAATTTAAAAAGCTTCACAAACAACATCTAAAAAATCTCTTTAAAACACTTTAAAAAATAGACATCTCAACATTTTCTTTTACTAATCATGTCTAGCACTGTGCCTGGTACATAGTAAACACTGAATAAATTTTTACTGAGTAAATGAATCAACTTGGCACACAAGATGGAATCTATTTTTCACCCCTGCCATATGTCAAAATAAAAAGCAGAGGAATTCATAAGATAAATGTTAGAAAGAGAGATAAGAAGAAAAAAATCTAGAGGAAAATATAGGATAACATTTATCTGATTTAAAATGTAGTACAACTTTCTAAGTAGAGAAGCATTAGAAAAAATGGCAAGGGAAAGCAAACAGATTGGACTACTTGAAAATTAAACTGTTGAATTTCAAACAATACTAAAAAATTTAAAAGCAAACGCATAGGGAAATATTTATACAGATTAAATAGATTGCATAAATTACAACTTTCAATTAAATAACTGTACATTGTTGAAAACACTAAGATAATTAAAGAATTACAAAGTTCATAAACAGATAATTCATAGAGTAGAAACAACTGAAAACTTTGTAAGAAAGTTTTCAATCTCATTAGCAATTAAAGAAATGGAAACACTACTAATAATCTTTTATCATTAATAAAATTAGCAAAGTTTTAAAAAAGTTCATATTAAAATTAATTCAATATGGTAAAAAATTTTAAAAGATATGCTGCAAAGAGAACTATAAATTGATACACATTTTCTGGAAAGCAAATTGGCAATATGATCAAGACCATAAAATATTCATTCAGGCTCTTATTTAGTAATTTCCCTTCTAGAAATCTATCCATAGAAAGTAATCTGGATCCCAGAGAAACATTTTTCATGCAAAGATTATCATTACAAATCTAGCTATTGTAGGAAAAATAAATACAAACAACCTAAAGGTTGAACTGTTGAAGAATAGTTAAGTTATGGTATAAAGAGTAGAATATTAACCGGCAATTTCAACTGGTTATGCTAGTGTGGGATCCTCAGAAATGGACCCGAAAGAAAGGGTTAATGTGAAAAAGGATTATTAAGAGGAATTCATATTTGAAAAAACAGTAAGGTAGTGGGAGGGATGGCAAACAAGCAAAATCCCTTAGAAAGTAACTTTTGCTCAATCTCTCAGAAGAGCTGTAGAGAAAGTATAGATCATACCTCAGAGTTGGTTCCATTGGGAGCAAGGAAGCTGCAGTATTTATATTCTTGTTCCATGAAGTCATTGATTAAGGGATAGGGCAAGGGGAGTAAATTCCCAGAAACTTCCCTACCATTTATGTACAAGCAGACTGAGGGTAGTCCCCCAAAAAAAGCCTGTTACTGGCTGTTGAGAATGAAAGCATACTGAAAGCCTGTGTGCAGGAAAATGGTAAAGGTGTTCAAGTGAATATGCATGTAGTGCTTACATTATCCACTAAACCAATGCTTTCAATGAATACTCAATAATATGTTGAATGCTGAGATAAAAGTAGGTTCAAAATACTGTATAGGGAGACCAGATTTACACCACAGCCTGGAACAACTAAAAAACTGTACCAAACATATGAAACAATGATTTCAAACATTAGACAAAAAGCAAAAGTAATCCTAAAGAGACAGGAAACAAAAGCAGCAAGGCTTATGTTTGTTTTCTACCTATTTCCTGGAGAGGAGGATGCAGCATTTAGATGGGGGAATCCAGGTGGAGCATGGCAATCTCTCTAATAGAGGACACAACCTGGGAGAACAAAGAGGCATTTTGCATTAGGGGAAGCTGGAGGAAGGGTGTACAGAAACTGTACTATTTCTGCAATTTTTCTGGAAGTCTAACATTACTTTAAAAATTTTTAAGTTTTTAAATGTTTCCAAAAGAAAAGGAAAAAATGGCACATGATAACACAAATTCAAAGAAACATGGAGTGGCTATATTAATATCAAGGTAGATTGCAGAGAAAATAATATTATCAGGAATAAAGAAGGTCATTTCCTAACAGTAAAGGGGTCAATTTATCAAAAGAACATAATAATACTAGAAGTGTATACATCTAATAGCAGGACTCCTGAATAAATGATGGAAAAACCAATAGAACTAAGAGTTGAAGCTTATAGTTGAATCCACAGTTACAGTTGAAGCTTATAACATTCTTCTCTCTACCTAGTAAAACACACAGCCAGAAAATCTGTAAGGATATAAAAGACCTGGACAACACTATCACTTAACATGACCTAATTCAGATTTGTAGAACATTCTTCTCAACAGCAGAATGCACATTCTTTTAAAATGCACATGGATCCTTTACCAAGATGGACCACATTATTGGCCATTAAATGAGTCCCAATATATTCAAACCATACCAAGTGCTAGTGAAGATGTGGAGCAACTGGAACTCTCATACACTGTTGGTGGTTATGTAACATGATGGCAACAAATTTGGAAAATAGCAGTTTCTTTTCTTTCTTTTGTTTGAGACAGTCTCGCTCTGTCACCCAGGCTAGAGTGCAGTGACACAATCTTGGCTCACTGCAACTTCTGTCTTTCAGTCTCAAGCAATTCTCCTGCCTCGGCCTCCCAAGTAGCTGGGATTCCAGGCGTGTGCCACCATGCCCAACTACTTTTTGTATTTTTAGTAGAGACGGGGTTTTGCCATGTTGGCCAGGCTGGTCTTGAGCTCCCATCCTCAAATGATCCACCCGCCTCGGCCTCCCAAAGTGCTAGGATTACAGGCATAAGCCACTGCACTCAGCCAAGTTTCTTAAGAAGTATACCTACCATGTGCCCTAGCCATTTCTCTTCTAGGTATTTACACAAAAAACAAAGATTTATGCCCGTGAAAAGACTGTATGCAAATATTTATAGCAACTTTGTTTGTAATAGCCAAAAACTTAAAATAACCCAAAAGTCCTTCATCAGGTGAATCAATAAACAAAGTTTGGTATAGCTACACAATGGAATATTACTTAGCAATAAAAAAGGATGAACATATTCATACACAAAATAACATGAATGTATCTCAAAACAATTATGGCAAGTAAAGAAGGCCAGATAATAAAGAACATATAGTTTATGGAAGTCATCCTAATAAGTATATATTTTTTCTTTAAAGCATTGGGAAGTTATTGATGAATATTAAACAGGGAGGGACATAATGTCTTTAATTTAGAATCTTTCCCTTGAGAGTAGTGTGAACACCAGATCTGAGAGTGGCAAAACCAGAGAGAGAGAGAGGGGTATTAGAACGTCATTAAACTTATACTGTAAATGACTAATAAGGATGGTGGCAGTGAGAATTGAGATGAAATGTGAGAGAAAAACTCCAGGTAGAATTGAATTGATGATTCGTTGTATGGAATGTATTAGTCGGTGTTTTCCAGAGAAACAGAAACAATCTAAGGAATTGGCTCATGCAATTATGGAAGATGAGAAATCCAAGATCTGCACTTGGAAGGTCGGAGACACAGTAGAGATGATATTTTACTTCCAGTTCAAACCTACAGGACTGAAAACTAGGAGAGATGATGGTGTAAGATCCAGTCTGAGTCCAAGTCCAAATGCTAGAGAAGACCAATATCTGTCTGAAGATTGATGTCTGTTTGAAGAAGTCAGGCAGTGAGAAAGAATTTCTCACTGGGTCTTCAATCCTATTCAGTTCTTGTACAACTTGGATGAGCCCCACAAACACTGGGGAGGGCAGTCTGCTTTTGCCAATTCTAATGTTTACCAGTTTGCCAATTCTAATGTTAATCTCATCCAGAAACTGACACACCTAGAAACATGTTTAACCAAATATCTGGGAAGCCTGTGGCCTAGCCAAGTTGACACATAAAATAAATCATCACAAGTTCACTCGTTGTCAATATGGCACCCATAGGGATCTCCTTAAACATAGTTAATCTCCAAATATAGATAATAACAAGGTTATAATTCAATTTACATGATACAACTATCATGTGTACAACCAAAAGCGTGCTAACCTCTTCCCCAGAAGAGGAGGTAAAGTCCTTGAGTGATGTTTATTTTTCTCCTGGTATTGCATAACTTAAATACATTAATATAATGTATACTTATATTAATGTATCAAAAATACTTAAATACTATGACATAAAGTCAATTCAACTTATGTTACATGATAAAGGAATAAGAGACAGAAGAAAATAAAGATGTTTAGTATATATGTATGTGTGTGTATATATGTCCATGTTTATGTATACATGCATATTCATACACACAAACATATTCATAACAAAAGAAGTAGAAACACTCATAAGGACAATTTCAGTCCTCATGTCTGTAACTGGTCATGTGGTCATTGCTTGTTTTTATGACTACTTCCATTATCAATTCTGTATTTTTTATTTGCTTTCAGCAAACGTCAAGGCTGATCATGGTCCTTTACCTGGTAGAGTGGCCCAAACCTTCATTTCTGAAAGGTCTGATTCATTAGAAGTCTTGCCTGGACTGGGTTATTGTAGTTTTCCATTAACCTAAATCACAAGTCATAGTAATTCTAAGAGACGCCCCAAGGGATCTCCAATATTCCAGACATTCTCTTACTTTTACCTCCATTGTGAAGTATTCTAATTCCCCTTGGTAGTTAAGATCAATCACCCCAGCCAGCCTAAAAACTCCCTTCTTATACTGTTGGTTCAGATGCATAAGGAGTTTAAACTGGCCAGAGAGCAGTCCTAACTTCCAGTTCAATGGAATCATTACTTTGTTTCCTCGTGGAAAATTTTCTCCCTTTGGAACCAAGACCTTTAGGCCAGCAGAGCATAAGGGTGGGAACAGGAAGCAAACATTTTGCCAATAGTCCAATAGTGATAATGGCGAGTGGTGCCACTTCCTTTCCACCACTTGATTCCCAGACTTTGGAATCCTGGCTATGGGAGAAGCTGATTCAGATTATATACAACGTTTTGGAAAATCTTGCTGCATCCCTGCAAGTTACTGCCACCTAACTATTACTATTACTGATTCTTCAAAAGGCCATTCCACTGTTCTGTCAAACAAACTGCTTCAGAATGGTGGGAAACATGATAAGACCAGTAAATTTCATGAACATGGGTCATTGCCACACTTCATTTCCTGTGAACTGAGTTTCTTGATTATAAGAAACGCTGTGTGGAAGATCATTATGATGGGCAAGGCATTCTTTAAGTTCATGAATTGCTGTTTTAGCAGAAGCATTGCATGCAAGCAAGAAAAAAATTATACCCAGAATAAGTTTTTATTCCACTAAGAACAAAATGCTGCCCATTCCATAATGAAAGCAGGCCAATGTAATCAAACTGACACATTACCTTCTCTCTCCTACTCTATATCTGTGGCATCCTAGAGAGTTCCCTATGATCAGTTGACAGAGGAGAAGACTCAGATGAACCTGAGCCAAAGTTTATTGATTACCTGACATCTATTGGCCTCTAATGTGACTGGTGGACCACAGTGATGTTTGAGTCTTCTACAATTATTGTCAGTTCAGAGCCACTGTCCAGTAGTCCCCAAAGGTCTGATTATTTCCTTCTCCTCAGTGAATAGTTACCCTAATAAAAGACTATAGATCCCTTTGGGGAAGGCTGGGAGAAAGATTAACAGTATAAATTTTTGGCAGTTTTCCTTTTATTAGTCAGGTAGATTCTTGTCCACCTGACCTAAAACTTTTTGGCTTATACAGATCAAACAATAATTTCGTATGTTTCCTATTTTATTTTTAGGAACATCATGATTAACTATCCAATGTCACATTCTGTGCGAGTCAGACTATTCTGATTGCTGCTTTGACTCTGCTGTTCATTACAGTAACCATATCCACTTTGCCTTTTGTGGTTGAGTGCTGTCACTTTGCCCCTGCCACCCTGGGATTCAATTATTCCTGTTGCATTTATATTTTTCAATTTAGTGACCACAGTCCCCACTATAGTGTTCAGCCTACAGAGAAGAATGATTACAGAGCTCTTTCAGGATGTCAGGGCTCCTTTTATGAAATTATTTCTCAGAGTAGTGGTGAAAGTTTTGTCTTCTGGACCCTTCCAAGTGGGTGAGTAGGTATTAAATGACAAATTCACTCTACCATTTCAATCTCCCTAAGCATTTGAATTCCTTCTAATACATTAAACTAAGGCAGGTCTGGCATTTCTATTTCACTCATGATGGGTCCCATTTTGGTCCATGTTTTAGACAACCAACCGGACACACTGGTGGTAGAGCCTTTCCTCACTCCATGAGCTGCAATATTAAATGGAGAATCTCTGCTTAGTGAGACCAAAATAAGTTCATACTGATCCAACTTTATGTTTCTATTATCATTATCCCACTTCCTCAATATTCATTCTACACATGTTCCCCAGATTTTTGTTGTGTAAATATAAAATAGTTCTTTTGGAATGTAGCATACTTCCTCATGAGATACAGCTTATATTTTTCTATTAGGGACTTACTAGGACTTGAGTCTAGTCTAGAAGCAAAGTGGGGTGTTGGTGGGGTCCTGAGGAGAGTCAGTATTATCTTTCATGGTAGCTGTTGCAGCGGAGGCCACCTCAGTTTCCTTAGGCAATGCAGGATTGATCCCCTCAGATTCAGGTGGAAAGGCCAAAAATACGAGGGGTGGGAGTCACTAACCCCTGAGGGTAGGGAAGCTACTTCTACTAGAGAAGCTGTTTTTACAGTCTTCTGAAGAGAAGATTCATCAGAATTTAGGGACTCAATGTCCCCAGCTTCATTAGGCTCTTCTTTCCACATATGCATATTCCAACTGATAGAACCCCTGTTTTTCCTAATCAATGCCCTCACTTTAAGAGTTGACACCATTCAAGACTGGGAGTTCAACTTGTGTTGTAATTTAGCCAATCACAGGATGAAATTCTGCATTTGATTTTCAGTAATCTGAGCCCTGGAACTGTGAGATAAGAGTCTCCTTTGGGCACACATAGATGCTTTTCAGATCATATAAATGCACCTGAGTTGAGAATTGGAATCCCTGAGCTCATCATTTTCTTTCACCACTTTGTCCAGCTGCATTAGGAACAATCAGTTAGCCTTATTATATCTGTTAGATTTCCAAAATGTTTGTAAGCATCATATACACAGTCACCTAGCTCCTTGCTTCTTATGAGTAGTTGACTATGAGTATCCAATGGAGGTATGTTGCGTATCTCTGTTGCGAGATCATGTGAACGATCATCGATTACTTTACTACTGGACATGGTCATTAAAATATTTAAATCTAACAATATTAGAGAGCTGTTTTAGTTCATTCAGGCTGCTACAACAAAATACCTTAGAATGGGTAATTCATAAACAACAGAAATTTATTGCTCACAGTTCTGTAGTCTGGGAAGTCCAAAACCAAGGCACCAACAGATTCAGTTTCTTGTGACAGCTTTCTCTCTACTTTAAAGATGGCATCTTCTTGCTGCATCTTAACATAACATAGGAGAAAACGTGCCTTTCAGTTCTTATCATGAGGGCACTAATCCTATTGATGGGGGTGGAGCCCTCATGACTTAATCACTTTTTTCAAGTCCCTATCTCTTGATACTATTACACTGAGGATTAAGTTTCAATATTTTGGGGTGATACATTCAGGTCATAGCAAGAGCCAACTCCAGAAAACCCAGAGCCAATTCAGAAAACTCATTCTTAAAATTCAATGCCTCTACAATCACTCTTGATACCAAAATCTGTGTTAGTCTGGGTTTTCCAAAGAAATAGAAGAAATAGGATATATATTTTTCCTTATTGAAATACATTTACTAGAAGGAATTGGCTCATGGGACTATGGAGGCAGAAATGCCCAAGATCTGCAGTCTGCAAGCCGGATACCCAAGAGAGCGGATGGTATAGTTCCAGTCTGAGCTCAAAGGCTTGAGAATCAGGAGGGCTGATAATACAAGTTCCTGTCCGAGTCTAAGTGTGAAGGCAGAAGAGTGATGTCTTGTGTGAACACTGATATTCCAGTTTGAAGAGAGTCAGGCAGAAACACACCCAGAGAAATGTTTAATCAAATATCTGACTGACCTGTGACTCAGTCAAATTGACACATAAAATTGACCATCATGTGGAGGATAAAAATGAAAGAAAGGATCAAAGACAGCTTTCTGTTTTCTACTTTAGATCCTTGCATGAATGGTGGCTCCATACTTTCTAGAGAGAGTATGGAAGGAAGAACAGATTTGAGGCACATCTAAGAAGTTAGGTGCTAGGCATGTTTTATGAAGCAGGTACAGGGTATCCAATTATACATCATGGCTTTTGATCTGGATTAAAGATATAGAATTGAGAGCTAGTAGTATATAAGCTTTAGAGAGAGTGGATAAAATTTCTCAGAAAAAGTATGCATAATAAGAAGAGTAGATGGTGAAGAATGGAGCTCTGGAAAATTGTTAACGTGAAAAGACAAGAAAGTTAATGGCACAGAGGCAAAATAAGGCAGAATGAGACCAGGAAGTCAAGGTAGGAGTTTTAAAAATGAGACAAAGGAAAATTGTATCATTCACTGCAGAGAGGTTATACGTGGTAAATATTGAAAAGTGTTCAACAGACATAGCAAACAGAAGATTCATGTTATATTCAGGAAGAGCAATTGCAGAGATGGAAAGGGTTGAGAAGTGACTTAGTGGAGAGGAGATAGAGACATGAAACATACACTACTCTGTCAGCAGCTTAGATTGATGGGAAGTGAAGAGATGACATAGGATGGAAATAGAGTCAAAGAAAGCTTTTAGAAAGTGCTGAGGTGAAGATTAGTGATGGGAAAAGGAATGACAAGGAACAGCTCCCTGGAGTGTTACAAGGCATAAAATCCAGGGCTTATAAAAAGGTGGGTTTTAGACACGCTGGGATCACTGCCCATTCATTTTTTTTCTCATCTAGATAAACATAGGTAAGTCTGTCGTTACAATATTCTATTGTACGTGATAACAATTTCTATTTTTTAGATATGTGAACCTTTTGTATAAGCTTAGGAAATTGCTTTACTTCATGATTTCAAAAATTATCTATATCCAAATGGATAATATATTTGAAAACGCTGCAAAATGTAAAGAGTTATATAACTTCCAGCAGCATAGTCACTGAGAATGATTTGAAAAAATATATAATTTTGTCCTTTACTCTCTACCTCAATAATGATAATAAGTCCCAGGTTATGTGTTTCTTTTGTAAGACATTCACCCTTTTTGCCTTTCTTTCTCCTTCTATTTCTTCAAAATACCCTTCAAATCACTCTTGTGCCTATGGCCCACTTTTTTCTGCACTACTCTAACAATCTTCTAACAGTTCTCTACTTTGCCAATTTCTGTCCCTAGAATCTATCCTGAATACTGTAGCCAAATTTAATTTTCTTGAAACACTAATTGTAACTTTGCTATTCTATTCACAATTTCCCAGTGGCTTTCCCAAACTCTGCCCTGCATTAAACACAAGATAAAGTTCATATTTCTTAGCCTAACATTCAAGGTATTCTATAATCTAGTCTTCACTTTCCTCTTCAACCTTCTCTCCAACTTCTACATAGCATCTGCTTATCTTCCACATTGGTCAAATTGGTGTGTTCTTTTTTTCTTGAAAGTCATATGGATGGGCCATATATTGTTTAAAAATTCAGGCACTGCACAATATTAGGAGACACCATTCAACTGCAATGTGATTGGTGCCCAGTAGGGTTGTGCACTGCACAACCTGTATAAATGTAAGTAGTGGCCCCTATTTCACAGCAGAAATATTATAGCTTCTGTCCTCCTTTCACATCATCACCTGCAGCTGAATTGCCATTTCCATTTTTTTAAAACCTGCATACAATAAAGTTGTAATAACGAGATCAAATTTAAACTCATGAACCCAGGATTCAAAGCCTTCTTTAAGCTAACCTACTTCCACCATCTAATCTTACTCTCAACTTAAATTATCCGTTATAAGTGAGTCTACAATTAAGTCTCTGCAGATAGAATGCTTACCTCTAAACGATTTCATTCTCTTTCCTTCCTTCAATCATATTTTCTTCCCACCCTTTTCCAACAATTCAAAAACAATTCATCCTTCTTTAATCAAAACAGCTTTCGCTGTCTCCACAAAATCTTCAACGATTATTCTATTCCACAATCATTCTTTCTTTCTTGAGTTACTATTAAGGTTATAATCTGTGCTGAAATATTTAACACTTGGACAATATCATTTCTTATATTCATTCATTTGTTATGCCTTACATTTTGTCAGCCACCAACTAGACCGTGATTCCTCAGTGGTTGAAATGTCAGCTTTTCTATCGGTTGTACCCCTTGAACATAATACAAAGCCATACAATACATGTTCGTTGATTTGATATTTTCACTGAGATTTAAAAAATTGTAAAGGTAACTCTTACGTTAATCTGTGAAGGTCCTTAAAAAGTTAATTTAATCTGTAATTTATAGTGTAATTTTATAGTTTTTTACTACAAAAACTATAAACTATAAACTATTATCATTTGTATTTGTATTTCATGAGAAATTAGGCTCTCATTCTTTATCTGGTGTGACTACATGAAAGCCAAGCAAAGCCAATGACTGTCTTTCTTGGAATATGAGAGACGAGGCTGCTTTTGCCTTTCTTGACCACCATGTGAAAAATACCTCCTTGAACAATGAAGTGAAATGGGTATAGAAAGAGTAGAGACATGAAGAGAGAGGGAACTATAAGGACATTCTTTGAGCTCCTCAATCTTTTTATACTTGAGATCAACTGCATCCCTAAACTATGCATTTATATGATCCAGTAAATTCCCTTTTTAGAGACTAAGCCGTCTTGGACTGCATTTCTGTTATTTTGCAACTGAAAGGGATCTGACTCAATACATATATAATATCATCCTATTATCTTGCATTTTGTATATAGAAGGCACTATGCTAGGTAACATGAATGATACTCATCCATGTGGGCAAATGGCCCATATTCTGCTACAATCTAATGAGATAGGATGTGTGCAGATAATAACATAGCACAATACATGATGGATGCCACATGGGAAGTACAAAGGGCTATGGAAATTTGGATAAAGGACCAATCCCTTTTGCCTGGAGGGGTCACAGAGGCTCCATATAGAAGGTGACATTAGAAATGGTGCAAGGACAGTGCAAAGCTTCCTCAACAAATGATGAAAGGTCTAATAATACAAGAATTTTGGTTTTGTAAAATGAGGATTAGAAATTAAGTTAGAAACATAAGTTAGGGCCAAAGAATGGATAAGGTTAACAACACTAAGATAAGGCATATGAGCTTCATTCATTAGGAAAAAAGGAGCCAAGATAGGAAAATGGTAAAAAAAAAAATTGTAAAATGCACATAATATTGAAAAAATAAAATTGGAGCTAGTATGTAATTCCAGAACTTGGGAAAGGAAGGTTTGATAGTGTGAATTATAACATTTGTAAATGTTATGAACAAATTTCCTTTGTTTATGTTTTCTTATAAATATTTTCTTACTGATATTGGTATCAGTATCAATGTCTGTCAACAAAATATATTTCTAGAGAACTATACCCACAAATATGAAGAAATTTAAATTAGTATCTGCCTTGTAAAGATTTTAATTATTTATAGTATCTGTATTCTTCAAAGATTAATCCTTTGCCCCAAACCATAAAGCAATCAGTGCTTTGATTAAGTTTGGATCAGTTTTTAGTACTTTAAAATATGTTTGTAACTTTACCCATTTAACTCAAGGGTGGGGATTATTACATTTACTTGGAATTTCCATAAGCTTGAAAGTAGAGCACATTCTTTGGGTTGTATTATTCAGGTATTTTTAGAAAATAGATTATCTTATTTCATTCATTATCCTTTATCCAGTTATACTTGGCACTCAGAAGACTTGGTTTTGCATTGTATGCACACACTTAAAAAGGAGCCAGGAGAAGTCCTCTTTCACTGCTTGTGGGTAGTAAATGACATACTGCGCAGCAGCAGCCAAGTAAAGAAGCAAACTTACCACAGAATCATGAGACAGCCCCATCTGTAATTCTGGGTGTAGCTGTGGTCACACGCCAAGCCTTTGCTCTGGAGGAGTTAAATAGGACTCCTTCCCAGAACTTCTGAGAACAGCCATATCAGGGCTCCACTTGTCCGTCCTGACCTGATGCCAAGTATTTGATGACCAGTGGCTCAGAGACTCAGAAAGATCTCTTCTACCTAGCAACTGCTTGTCTGGCCCCAATTCACTTATCAACGGCCATGCTGCTCTGTGACAAAGAAATGTCTTCATATGGAGAACCAGGACCTGCTTTAATAATCCTGAGAAGAGTGAAGAATTAAATTACATTTTGTTTTCCCTACTGGTAGGGTCATGGAAACTTATTACATGCACTTTAGAAAGATTTCCACTTAAAGAATGTTAAAATTAAAGAAAAGTTTTGTGTGGAAAGGGTAACCGTCAGGTATCTGAGAAAGAAAAAAAAAGCAGCTGCTGCTAATCTTCTCTCCTTAAAGACTGACTGAATAAAAATCACCAAATAGGAATTTTTATATTGAATTTGTAATGCAAGCCTGAAAAGCTGAACATGTTTCAAATTTGAGAATCTCCATAAAGCAATTATAGCTGATGTGAGTTCAGTAAATAACATATATTACATACATCTTATTCTAATCTTCTGTTGTGACTTAAGATTATAGTTCACTTAGGATTACACTGAGGCTGGGAAAAAAAAGCAATAGAGGGTGTGAAATTCTAGGGACAAGGTACCTGAGAGAGAATGCTGTTTCTTAGGAGTGGTTCTGCAGGAAATAGTGGCTTTATTGTTGCTAGCAGGCCTAAAGGGCGTCTTCCTTTTGTTTATTTCTTTTATTTCCTATGTACTCATCTGTGTTAGTATTAATGAATTACTCTTTGCTTAAGCACACCATATAAGAGCCTATTTTCCCCATAGCCTGGAACGTTGCCACCACTACCACAAGATGAAACAAGCATGAAAGATTGAGAAGTGCTGCGGTGAAGCAACATTCTCCTTTATTTTCTTTGCTCTTCAGATAATAATGACTCTGGGGAAGGGAGAGAAACTCCAGAACTACTTTGTTCTCTTCAAAGCCCAAGCCTCGGGAGAAAAAGTAAGACGACAAGACACCTCTCAAGCCAGGGGCCTCAAAACACACCAGCCCTGTGCTGGTGTCCTTATTTTATCATATTGATGACGCTGAGTTCAAAAATCCTTTACTTTAAAAAAAAAATAGCTATGAGCAATAGATAGAAAAAAAAGAAACACTTAGAAAACAAACCCACCTTAATGGTGACATTTAAATCAAATGAACCTCCGTTCATTAAATTAAACAAACCTCAGTTCTTTTCATGTACATTTTAAAGTACATTTCTTCTTGGACAATGCAGAATTTTAAGTGTACAAGAAGGAAATACTAATGAAAGGGAATGAAATACCTCTGGATTCTCATCAAGCAATCAAATACTGTAAACAAAGGGAACACATCTTTGCAAATGTTGGATGTACATAGATAAGTAAAGGTTTTCTAGGGTTTCCTGTTAGTTGGCCATCTGCTTTCTAGTAAACAAACAAATGTGGACCCTTTGGACTGTCATTAAGAGCATATGGGTAGAGAACCTAAGGGCTGGTGATATACAAGCTGACAAGTACCTGGCCTACAGGAAGAAGACAGGAAATGGGGAAGGACTTTCTCCAGAAACATAAGCTTACCCACGTCAAGGCTCTCTTCCTATTCATGGACTCTTCAGGATCTAGCCTGCCTAAGTCCAACCAACTCTGCACACTTGGTGGCCTTGAATGAGTAATCTCGCCTTTCCTGTCCTTGTTTACTCACTTGTGAAATGAGAAAAATGAATTAGATCATCTCTTGTGTTTTTTTCAACACTAACATTTTATAATTGAAGTTAAGGGTTTGAAATGAAAAATTAGTTTGTGATATTTGTATCTCTTTTTTATGTTTTAGATTTTTTTAACTTTTTAAACTTTTTTTAACTTTCTTTTAACCATTTTTTAACTTTTATTTTAGGTTTTGGCGTACCTGTGAAGGTTTGTTACATAGGTAAACATGTTTCATGGGGGTTTGTTGTACACGTTATTTCATCACCCAGGTATTAAGCCCAGTACCCAATAGTTATCTTTTCTGCTTCTCTCCCTCCTCCCACCCTCCCCCTTAAGTAGACCCCAGTGTCTGTTATTTCCTTGTTTGTGTTGATAGGTCCTTATCATTTAACTCCCACTTATAAGTGAGAACACGCGGTATTTGGTTTTCTGTTCCTGCATTAGCTTGCTAAGGATAATAGCCTCCAGCTCCATCCATGTTCCTGCAAAAGACATGATCTTATTATTTTTTATGTATCTCTTTTTAGCTGAATATCTATGTGTGCATGTGAACACACAAAATCTTCTAGATCCTTCTAGATCTAATAATTCCTCATGTGTTTGTTTTTGTTTTTGTGATAGGATCTCACTTGATCACCCAGGCTGGAGTGCAGTGGCATGATCTCAGCTCACTGTGTCCTCCACCTCCTGTGTACAAGCAATCCTCATGCCTTAGCCACTAAGTAGCTGGGGCTATAGGTGCGCACCCCCACGCCTGGCTAATTTTTATACTTTTTTGCAAAGACAAAGTTTTACCATATTGCCCAGGCTGGTTTCAAACTCCTGAGCTCAAGGGATCCACTTGCCTCATCCTCCCAAAGTTCTGGGATTACAGGCTTGATTGAGCCACTGTGCCCGGCATTCTCATGTTTTCTCCAATTGATCATATTCCCTTATGTACCTTTGTCATCTCTAAGTAGAACATACTAGCTCTTAAATTGTCTCTTACTGCTCAGTTCTATAATATCTTTCCCACCGTCAAACCATATTAACCCACTTCAGTTTTAGCTCAACCAGTCAACCCTGTAAGGACTATCATGGAGGTGTTAAAGAGAAGGGTCTGGTGTTTGGGATATGATAGCAGAAAAGCTTCACAGCTATGGATGGTTTTAGGACAACTTATGAATACAATTGTGAGATGGTTCAGAATAGATAGAGTTAAATATTATTCATGCTACTATATTTCCCTTACAATTTTTTGATGCTGATTAAACTTATGAGACTTGTTTGCCAGAATTCCCTCAGAGTCCATGAAACAAATCTCCTCTTGCTGATTAGGTAGTTTATTTTGAATTACTGCTGGCAAGATTTGGAGGTATGATTACTCTTCCTTGATTCCTGAACAGATCATTGCCAAGCTTTTAAAAAAAAAATAAAGTTTATATCATAAAAAAAGTAGGTTGTGATATTAAAATCTTAATACACTAAGTTCTGTAATAGCTGGATGTCTTTTTATTACAAACAATATTTAAAAAGCAACCTTAAAGCTTTGTGTATTATTTACACAAACACATACTATCATTATTTTAGTATTTGTTCTTGTGTCTTTTTTTTTTTTTAACTTTGGGGGAAAAAGGGAGAGGGGAATTTATTGACTCATGAGGCTGGAAGTCCAAGAGTTAAGCCAGTGGATCCAGCTGCTCAAGGTGTGTGTCCAGAGCTCATTCTCTGTGACTCTTTCCACACTCCAGCAGTCTTTTTTAGAAGACCAGTAGTAATGTACCTTCGCATGGGAATTTTACTACGGAGTAGCTGCATAGCTGATTTCTGAAAAAAAAAAAAAAAAAAAAAAAAAAAAAAAAAAAAACAGGCTCTACGTCACTTCATAAAGTTTTAATGGGGCAGCACTTATTCTTGGCTGCTCATTTTTTTTTTTTTTTTTTTTTTTTTTTTGAGACGGAGTCTTGCTCTGTCACCCAGGCTGGAGTGCAGTGGCGCGATCTCCGGCTCACTGCAAGCTCCTACTCCCGGGTTCACGCCATTCTCCTGCCTCAGCCTCCCGAGTAGCTGGGACTACAGGCGCCCGCCACCACGCCTGGCTAATTTTTTGTACTTTTGGTAGAGACGGGTTTCACCGTGTTAGCCAAGATGGTCTCGATCTCCTGACCTCGTGATCCGCCCGTCTCGGCCTCCCAAAGCGCTGGGATTACAGGAGTGAGCCACCGCGCCTGGCCGGCTGCTCACTTTATGAGAGTTGGAAAGTCAAGCCTTCTAACTGTGGAGGGAGTAGTCTTTCAAATGGCCGGGTGGTCTCAAGAGAAATCAGAAGATAACTCCTGAAAGATTTCCTAAGGAGGGTTTTTTACACTTTTATTTGTGCACATGTAGGTACCAGTGACTTGAACTTTCAAATATTCAGCTGCATGACTTACAAGATATTTCATATAATTTTTTCTCTTCTGTTCTATTACATGTTTTGCCAATGTAACACCAGTAGCTACTTTACCTTCTCCTTGATATACCAAGATTATTTTTTATATCTACTACTTAATGAGTAAACATGACTGTTCATATTGTCTCTTTTTGGAGAAAAAAAACACAATTATCAACCATCTCAATGACAATACATGATGGTGGGCTTTGGCTAAACTCTGAGGAATATAACCAGGTCTGCTTTGTTGAATGAGTAATGAATAAATTCATGAATTTCTCATATCCTGTTCCCTCTTATGATCATCCAAGGGTTTCTCCTTCCAGTCCTTTGAAATACCAGCAACCATTTTTTTAACCAAATATTTACCAGTTTGACCAGAGGGAACGAGAACTTTGATTCTCATCAATACATCTAATCCTACTTATAATAGTACCTTGGTTTGTATTTTGAGGTACAAATGTTAAAGTATATTCACATTCATCTCGTTTAATCCTCAAAAAAAATAAATCCCCAAGCCTCACACTGTGCTTGACAAACAGTTACTATTCAATCAATACTTGTCAGATGAATGGATGAATTAAAGAATGAATGAAAGTTTTTAATCTCTATTTTATAGCTGAGAAAACAGACTCAGACCATCTGAGTAACTGGCCTGAATTCAAGGAGTTAAAAACAGGCTGAGCCAGGGCTCAAATTCTTCTGGACTTCAAGCCATTCCTTTCCCATCCTGCAGCTGCTAGACTTGGAGAGAAAGTACCACGAAAAGTTTCAAGTACAAATAGAATTGAGAGAAGCCAAATAGGAAGTAGGATATTGTGTCAGTTTCTTAGGGCTGAGATAACAATGTACCACAAACTAAGTGGCTTAAAACAACAGAAATTTATTCCCACATAGCTTTGCAGACTGTAAGTCCAAATCAAGATGTCATCCAGGCTGGTTCCTTTCGGGGGCTCAGGTAGAGAATCTATTCTCTGGCTCTCTCCTGGCTTCTGGTTGTGGCCAGCAATCCTAGTGTTCCTTGGCTTGCAGCCACATCGCTCAGATCTCGCCTCTGTCATCACATGGCATTCTGCTCTGTGTGCCTCTGTGTCCTCTGTTCTAAGGACACCAGTGATTTTCTTATAAAAGCCCCTATGATTGGATTTAGAGCACACTCTAGTCCAGTATGACTTCTTCTTAGTTTATCTCTTAATTACATCTGTAAAGACCCTATTGCCAAATAAGGTTACTTTCAAGATATGGGAGGTTAAAACTTCAACATGTATTTTGGGGTTACACAATTCAACCCACAGCAGTGGGACTAATTTGTGAATAATTAAAAGATGACTGAATTATTTCCACAGATAACATTTGCCATAACACTGAAGTTATAACTGTGTTAAATCACTAAATAAAACATTTCCTCAAATATGTTTCTTTGAACAGTAAGAGGCACTGCCTCAGGGGGAAAATGGTTTTATTATTATATAGTTTGAAGAAACAGTAGGTCAAAGAAAGTTAAAAAGACTACTTGCTACAGGACACGTCAGAGCCTTTAAGATACAGTAAGTTTCCCAAACTTGTGTGATCATAGGCAAATTTAACTTAAGTGCTGTCCCAGGGAGCACACTTTATGAAACCCTGACTTCCCAGGTAGCATTATATTGTAACTATTTACAAATTTGTCTCTACTTATTAGGTTCTAAGTTCCTGAGAGGGAGAATCCATACTTCATGAATCTTTAAATCCCCAGGACACATGTAGTGTGTGGGAGCTACAGGCCCACTGGGTTGTACCAGACACAAGTAAATGATTTTCCCTGAGCTGGTGCAACACAAAGGCACTGGACACATAGAGCAGGTATTACTGTTGACTGTTGAACAACATGAGGGTTAGGGTCACTGACGTTCCATGCACTGAAAATTTGCATATAATTTTGACTCCCAAGAAACTTAACTACTAAGAGCCTACTGTTGACCAGAAGCCTTACTGATAACATAAACAGTTGATTAACATGTTTTTTATATTATATGTATTATACACCATATTCTTACAATAAAGTAAGCTAGAGAAAGAAAATGTTGTTAAGGAAGTCATAAAGAAAAAATATTTTTACTATTTATTAAGTGGAAGTGGATCATCATCAAGGTCTTCAGCCTCACCATCTTCATGTTGAGTAGGCTGAGGAGGAGGATGAAAAGGAGGGGTTGGTCTTGCTGTCTCAGGAGCAGCAGAGGCAAAAGAAAATCTGCACATAATTCAACTTGTGCAGTTCGAACTTGTGTTGTTCAAGGGTCAACTATATATCACTTGTATTTCTTTCAGCCACATGTCACAAAATTCTGACCACTCTTCCGTGAACATAAAGGGGGTTCTTCTTCTTAAATAATAAGATATCTGCAAGGAGGATGTCCAGAACCCAGGCACAGCTGCTCAAAAGGATCATCATTAAGGATGCAGATCATTCTATTTGTTGCTCCATCTCAATGTTATAGAATAGCTGTTTCACAGCCAGCCCCTACTTCTCAGTGCCAGGCAGGAAAAAAAGATAAAGTCTTTTCTTTCTCTCTCTCCCTTTATCCCTCTCTCCCTTTTTTTTCTTTTCTTTTCTTGTGTTTTCTTTTCTTTTCTTTTTTTCTTTTTTTTTAACGTTCGGGAAAACAATAGCTTTACTGGAAACCTCACTAAGAATTCAAACTGTCTTACTGTGTAAACACATGGTCACCCCCAGCTGCAAGAAAATCTAGAAGGGCATGGACTTTAAGGCTCATTATCAAGTCAAAAAAATCGGCGCCTTGTTGGCAAAGCAAAGAAGAAAAGGCTTTTGAGTAGCTGTATCACCAATGGTGCTCAGTTTATTCTTTTATGTCCTTATTGTCATTGTTGACTCTATTGGAGTTGTGGCTAGTTCTAGTCTATTGTATTTATAGGAAAAAATGAGTTACTTATTTTGACTTTGAAGTTTGGTAGATTTTAAATTTCATGGAGAAAAATGTTGTTTCAATAATTACTTAGGCTGTTAGGTTATATAACATACTAGTAATAAACTATCTTGATGAAGGAGAACACTGTTTTGGAGAGTATCCCAGGAGTTCTGGACCCAGAATAGTAGGCTCATTGAGTGATTATGCAACCCTTGAATAAACCCACAATACAACTGAACAAGAAATTAAATATATAACTTCAAAATACTCCATTGATTCATTGTGTTGGGAAGCCAATATTAACTTACTGCATCTTGCTGATTCATGTGATAAACACAGCATTTTAATAGGGACTTTGATTCCATAATGATTCAGTTTCTTATATATCTGGAAATTGTAAATCAGCCAGGAGAACAAATAGCAAGCCTTGAGCCATGCTGGTATGATGTTTGCTTTACAAATTTGGTGCCCTTTCCCTCTGAGATACAGCCACACTCAATTAAAATCATGCAATGTTGGCTAAGTAACAGGGCAGCAACCAAGATTTAAATTGTGGAGAAAAAATTCCAAAGTGCGTCTGAATAATAGGAAGCAGAAACTCAAAAATGGAAACTGCTTTTTTTTCTGTGATCACACCACTGTAGCCGTTAGATATTTTTCCATTGACTTTGGGAGTGTAGGAGATGCAAATTAAAAATAAATAATTGTAGCAACATGGCCATGACTTTTTTTCTGTTACATTTAATTAATTGGAAATTTGGAAATTTAGAACTTTCATACAGATGTTTTATTTGTCTGTAGCTCTATTCTTAGGCTTCCTGTTCATATTTTAGTACATAGATTTCTGCAATATAGGACTAGATCTTCAGCTATTTTCATTTAGTGCTTACTAGCAAGACAATTAATTGAGGAACTTCTTGTGATTAAACATGATACTGTAACACTTCTGACTTCTCAAATATCCATCAAGTGTGACTAACTTCACTCTCCCTCAGATGTCATCTCATAAAACCCTATTTTGGGGAAGAGAATGCAGAAGCTTTTAGTTCTGTCATATCTCCCAAAGATTATGGAATTGGGAAGAGTGTAAAACCTGGAGAAAACTCATTAAGACAGGACCTTGATGCTTTTTAAAATCTTAGCCCCTAAATTTGTGACATGTCCATTCACAGGAGATTCCTGACAGGCACAAGCACATTTTCACCATTTTCACTGCTTTTTGTATTGTGCACATTTATGATGTACAATATTATATATATATACACATATTAAAATGATTGCTACAGGTAAGTGAATTAACATATCTATTACTGTTCAGTTGTGTGTGTGTGTGTGTGTGTGTGCACGCGTGCACGCGTGCACGTGCGCATGTGTGGTAATAAACTTTCAGTATACAATACCATATTACTAACTACAGTCTTTTCTTCTGTACATTAGATCTCTAGACTCTTCCTCCTGTATAACAGCAACTTTGTACCCTTTTGACCCACATCTCCCCATTTCCTTGTCCTCCTTTACACCTGGTAAGCACTATTCTACTTTCTGTTTCTATGTATTTAATTTACTTTTAGATTCCACATGTAAGTGTGGTCATGTAATATTTGCCTGTCTGGGTTATTTCACTTAGCATAAAGTCCTCCATGTTCGTCCATGTTGTTGCCTATCTCCTCCATTTTTAAGTCAGATTAATATTCCCTTGTATTTATAAATTACAATTTCTTTATCCATTTATACGTTGATGAACACTTAGGTTGTTTCTATAACTTGGCTATTCTGAATAATGCTGTTATGAACATGGGAGTGTGGATATCACTACAAGGTGCTGATTTCACTTCCTATGGGTATATACACAGCAGAGGGATTGCTTGGTCATGTGATTCAATATTCAATTTTTTGAGGAACTTCTATATTGTTTTCTATAATGGCTGTACCAATTTACATTCACATCAACAGTGCACAGACGTTCCCTTTTTTCCACACCCTTGCCAATATGTATTATCTCTTGTCTTTTTGATCATAGCTATCCTAACAGGTGTGAGGTGATATCTCATTATGATTTTGATTGGCATTCCCTGATGATAAGAGATGTCAAGCACCTTTTTATATGTGTGTTGGCTGTTTTTGCGTCTTTTTTGGGAAAATGTCTTTTCAGGTTCTTTGCATATTTTTAAATTCTATTATCTCTGTGTGTGTGTGTGTGTGTGTGTGTGAGAGAGAGAGAGAGAGAGAGAGAGAGAGAGAGAGAGATTGAGCTGTGTGAATTCCCTATGTCTTTATTAATCTTTTATCAGATATACTGTTTGAAAATAGTTCCTCCTGATCAATAGGCTGACTTTTCCTTTTGTTGATTGTTTCCTTTGCTGTACAGAAGCTTTTCAGTTTGATGTAGTTCAAAGAAGTTTAATGTTCTTTCATGATATAAACTCTAAACAAAATATAGCTAGAAATTTTTTCTTCAACATACTAAAGGCCATTTATGAAAATCACACAGCTAATCTAATCAATAGGAAAAACTGAAAGCTTTTCTTTTAAAATCAGGGACCAGGCAAGGAGGCAAGGGTGCCCATTCTTGCCACTTCTATTCAACAAAGGGCTGAAATATTAGCAAGAACAATAAGACAGGAAAAAAAAAAAGACATCCAAATTGGAAAGGAAAAAGTAAAACTATCCCTTTTTGTCAATGACACATGTAGAAAACCCTAAAAGTAGCAGGATGCAGAATCAACATACAAAAAAATTGAATTTCTTTTCATTAATAATAATCTGTCCATAAAAGAAATCAAGTAAATAATCTCACTTGCAATAGCATCAAAAAATTAAGATGCTTAGATATAAATTTAACCAAGAAAGTGTAATATCTGCATGCTAAAAGCTGTAAAATATTGATGAAAGAAGTTTAAGAAGACACACAGAAATAGAAAGATACCCTATGCTCGTGGACAGGAAGTATTAATATTGTTAAAATGTCCATACTACCTAAAGCATTATACAGACTCAAAGCAACCTCTATCAAAATTTCAAGTGCATTTTTCGTAGAAATAAAAAAATCAATTCTAAAATTTGTATGAAACCACAAAAGGCCCTGAAAACAATTTCCATAAAGAAAAACAAGGATGGAGTCATCATACTTTCTGATTTCAAATTATATTACTAAGCTATAGTAACCAAAACAGTATGATGTTGACATTAAAACAGACACACAGACTAACTGGACGGAATAGAGAGGCCGGAAATAAACCCTAGCATATATGGGCAACTAATTTTTGACAAGCTCTGCAAGAAGACACAATGGGGAAAGAATAGTTTTTTCAATAAATGCTGTTTAGAAAACTGGATATTCACATGCAAAAGAAAGAAACTAGACCCTTACCTCACACCATACACAAAAATCAGCCCAAAACAAGTTAAGGACATAAATGTAATCCCTGAAACCATAAAACTACTAGAAGAAAACATAGGAAAATCTCTGTGATATTGGCCTTGCAACCATGTTTTGGATATTATATTAAAAGTTCAGGCAACAAAAGCAAAAATAAGCAAATGGACTACCTTTTCACGGCTTTTGACTTTCTTCAAGTTTTAAATGCAACCCTGTGTATTATGCCAATGTCATGCTCAGGCCTTAGGCTCTATGGAGCTTCTCAAGGTCCTTATTTGATTTTTTTTCTACCTCATGGTCCTTACACAGTCTGCTCTTTTTGCCTAGAACACTCTTTTCTTCTCCTGTTTTCTCTTTTCTTACATTCCTTTCAGGTCTCATTTTAAATTTTATTTGCATACTGGATGAGTTTGCCTTAGTTCTGAGATATTTATACTCCTCTCATTTTTAGCAAGTATTATATACATATATATTAATACTTTGTAAAATTATTGGGCTAGTGCCTTACTTTTTTCCTTGGGTGTCGCCGACCTCAATTCCTGGTGGACTGAACAAAGGATGATGAATGTGGGAATGAAGATAAAGACAAAAGTGTATATTTGGAAGAAGGGGGTCAGGGGGCTCCTTGCTTCTAGTGAACAAAGGCCCTGAGCTTTTTCAGCCTTCTGTATTTATTAGGTGAAAGAGATAGCAAGAAGGGGGGTGATTGTAGGTCAGCAGTTTGACTAACAGCAGGCTTGCAAGACTGCATTCTTTGAACAATAGGCTCTAGATATCCCAGTAGATAACCTCAAGAAGCATGGCACCAGGGGGTGATTGCCTTCAGCAAAACTTCTGGCAGCTGGAGCAGATGTGATTTTGCCCATATCCTCCATTCATAATAAACAGTTTTCTGTTTGATCATATAGACTCCAGTGGAATGTTGAGTTGGTCACGATTCCTTTGCCAGCCCTTTACACTTGGGTACAACTTAATGGAGTCATGTTTGAGAGGTATGGGGGAGGAGTAGAGAGCTATGGAGCCACTCTAGCACTGTGATCCCATCTCTATTGTCACCCTTATCACAGTATTATAATAGTCTTTTTAACATAATGCTTATTTACTGTTAGATTGTTTGTGTCAAGCACTGAATACTTATATTCCGGCTCTAGCTATTCCCATACTCTAGCAGCTGACAGTCTAGAATCTAGTCATCTATTCACTAAAAGTCATTAACATTTCAAACCAGCATATGCAAAATACCAAACCAATTAACAATTGCCATAGACCTTACTGTCCATTATTGTAGCCATAAGCCACCTGTTGCTATGAGCATTTGAAATGTGACTAGTCTGAATTGAGATTTGTCATAAATACAAAATATACACCAGACATTAGAATGAAAAAAAGATGGGGCCCATTCCAAGATGGCTGAATAGGAACAGTCTGGTCTGCAGCTCCCAGCGTGATTGATGCAGAAGATGGGTGATTTCTGCATTTCCAACTGAGGTACCTGGTTCATCTAATTGGGACTTGTCAGAAAGTGGGTGCAGCCCATGGAGGGTGAGCCAAAGAGCGGGGCATCACCTCACTGGGGAAGTGCAAGGGGTCAGGGGATTTCCCTTTCCTAGCCAAGGGAAGCTGTGACAGACCATACTGGGAGAATCAGGACACTGCCACCTAAACACTGCGCTTTTCCAATGGTCTTAGCAAACAGCACACCAGGAGATTATATCCCACGCATAGCTCAGCGGGTCCCACGCCCATGGAACCTTGCTCACTGCTAGTCCAAGATCGAACCGCGAGGTGGCAAGCCTGGCTGGGGGGAGGGGTGTCTGCCATTGCTGAGGCTTGAGTAGATAAACAAAGCGGCTGGGAAGTTCAAACTGGGTGGAACCCATGGCAGCTCAAGGAGGCCTGCCTGCCTCTGTAGACTCCACCTCTGGGGGCAGGACATAGCTGAACAAAAGGCAGCAGAATCTTCCACAGACTTAAAAGTCCCCATCTGACACCTCTGAAGAGAGCAGTGATTCTCCCAGCATGGTGTTTGAGCTCTGAGAACGGACAGACCACCTCCTCAAGTGGGTCCCTGATCCCTGTGTAGCCTAACTTGGAGATACCTCCCAGTAGGGGCCGACTGACACCTCATACAGCTGGGTGCCCCTCTGAAATGAAGCTTCCAGAGGAAGGATCAGGCAGCAATATTTGCTGTTCTGCAATATTTGCTGTTCTGCAGCCTCTACTGGTGAAACTCAGGAAAACAGGGTCTAGAGTGGACCTCCAACAAACTCCAACAGACCTGCAGCTGAGGGACCTGACTGTTAGAAGGAAAACTTACAAACAGAAAGGAATATCATAAACATCAACAAAAAGGACATCCACAACAAAACATCATCTGTGGGTCACCATCATCAAAGACCAAAGGTAGATAAAACCACAAAGATGGGGAGAAACCGGAGCAGAAAGGCTGAAAATTCTAAAAACCAGAGCACCCTTTCTCCTCCAAAGGATCGCAACTCCTCACCAGCAACAGAACGAAGCAGGACAGAGAATGACTTTGATGAGTTGACAGAAGTAGGCTTCAGAAAGTTGGTAATAACAAACTTCTCTGAGCTAAAGGAGAATGTTTGAACCCATCGCAAGGAAGCTAAAAAGCTTGAAAAAAAGATTAGATGAATGGCTAAGTAGAGTAAACAGTGTAGAGAAGACCTTAAATGACCTGATGGAGCTGAAAACCATGGCATGAAAACTATGTGACACAGGCACAAGCTTCAGTAGCTGATTCCTTCAAGTGGAAGAAAGGGTATTGGTAATTGAAGTTCAACTTAATGAAATTAAGTGAGAAGAGAAGTTTAGAGAAAAAGGAGTAAAAAGAAACGAACAAAGCCTCCAAGAAATATGGGACTATGTGAAAAGACCAAATCTACATTTTATTGGTGCACCAGAAAGTGTTGGGGAGAATGGAACCAAGCTGGAAAACACTCTTCAGGATATTATCCGGAGAATTTCCCCAACCTAGCAAGGCAGGCCAACATTCAAATTCAGGAAATACAGAGAATGCCACAAAGATACTCATCAAGAAGAGCAACTCCAAGACACATAATTGTCAGATTCACCAAGGTTGAAATGAAGGAAAAAATGCTAAGGGCAGCCAGAGAGAAAGGTGGGGTTACCCACAAAGGGAAGTCCATCAGACTAACAGCAGATCTCTCAGCAGAAACCCTACAAGCCAGAAGAGAGTGGGGGCCAATATTCCACATTCTTTAAGAAAAGAATTTTCAACCCAGAATTTCATATCCAGCCAAACTAAGCTTCATAAGTGAAGGAGAAATAAAATCCTCTACAGACAAGCAAATGCTTAGAGATTTTGTCACCACCAGGCCTGCCTTACAAGAGCTCCTGAAGGAAGCACTAGACATGGAAAGGAATAACTGGTACCAGACACTGCAAAAACATGCCAAATTGCAAAGACCATCGATGCGAGGAAGAAACTGCATCAACTAATGAGCAAAATAACCAGCTAACATCATAATGACAGGATCAAATTCACACATAACAATATTAACTTTAAATGTAAATGGGTTAAATGCCCCCAATTAAAAGACACAGACTAGCAAATTGGATAAAGAGTCAAGACTCATCAGTGTGCTGTATTCAGGAGACCCATCTCACGTGCAGAGACACATATAGGCTCAAAATAAAGGGATGAAGGAAGATTTACCAAGCAAATGGAAAGCAAAAAAAAGCAGGGGTTGCATTCCTAGTCTCTGATAAAATAGAGTTTAAACCAACAAAGATCGAAAGAGACAAAGAAGGCCATTACATGATGGTAAAGGGATCAATTCAACAAGAAGAGCTAACTATCCTAAACATATATGCACCCAATACAGGAGCACCCAGATACATAAAGCAAGTCCTGAGAGACCTGCAAAGAGACTTGGACTCCCACACGTTAATAATGGGAGACTTTAACACCCTACTGTCAACATTAGACAGATCAACGAGACAGAAAGTCAACAAGGATACCCAGGAATTGAACTCAGCTCTGCACCAAGCGGACCTAATAGACATCTACAGAACTCTCCACCCCAAATCAACAGAATATACATTTTTTTCAGCACCACACCACACCTATTCCAAAATTGACCACATACTTGGAAGTAAAGCTCTCCTCAGCAAATGTAAAAGAACAGACATTATAACAAACTATCTCTCAGACCACAGTGCAATCAAATTAGAACTCAGGATTAAGAAACTCACTCAAAACCGCACAAGTACATGGAAACTGAACAACCTGCTCCTGAATGACTACTGGGTAAATAACAAAATGAAGGCAGAAATAAAGATGTTCTTTGAAACCAACGAGAACAAAGACACAATGTACCAGAATCTCTGGGACACATTTAAAGCAGTGCGTAGAGGGAAATTTATAGCACTAAATGCCCACAAGAGAAAGCAGGAAAGATCTAAAATTGACACCCTAAAATCACAATTAAAAGAACTAGAGAAGCAAGAGCAAACACATTCAAAAGCTAGCAGAAGGCAAGAAATAACTAAGATCAGAGCCGAACTGAAGGAGTTAGAGACACAAAAATCCCTTCAAAAAATCAGTAAATCCAGGAGGTGGTTTTTTGAAAAGATCAACAAAATTGATAGACTGCTAGCAAGACTAATAAAGAAGAAAAGAGAGAAGAATCAAATAGACGCAATAAAAAATGATAAAGGGGATATCATCACCGATCCCACAGAAACACAAACTACCATCAGAGAATACTATAAACACCTCTACGCAAATAAACTAGAAAATCTAGAAGAAATGGATAAATTCCTGGACACATACACCCTTCCAAGACTAAACCAGGAAGAAGTTGAATCCCTGAGTAGACCAGTAACAGGCTCTGAAATTGAGCTAATAATTAATAGCCTACCAACTAAAAAAAAGTCCAGGACCAGACAGATTCATAGCCAAATTCTACCAGAGGTACAAACAGGAGCTGGTACCATTCCTTCTGAAACTATTCCAATCAATAGAAAAAGAGAGAATCCTCCTTAACTCATTTTATGAGGCCAGCATCATCCTGATACCAAAGCCTGGCACAGACACAACAAAAAAAAGAGAATTTCAGAACAATATCCCTGATGAACATCAATGCAAAAATCTTCAATAAAATACTGGCAAACCGAATCCAGCAGCACATCAAAAAGCTTATCCACCAAGATCAAGATGACTTCATCCCTGGGTTGCAAGGCTGGTTCAACATACGCAAATCAATAAACATAATCCATCACATAAACAGAACCAAAGACAAAAACCACATGATTATCTCAATAGATACAGAAAATGCCTTTGACAAAATTCAACAGCGCTTCATGCTAAAAACTCTGAATAAACTAGGTATTGATGGAATGTATCTCCAAATAATAAGAGCTATTTATGATAAACCCACAGCCAGTATCATGCAGAATGGGCAAAAACTGGAGGCATTCCCTTTGAAAACTGGCACAAGACAGGGATGCCCTCTCTCACCACTCCTATTCAACATAGTGTTGGAAGTTCTGGCGAGGGCAATCAGGCAAGAGAAAGAAATAAAGTGTATTCAATTAGGTAAAAAGGAAGTCAAATTGTCCCTGTTTGCAGATGACATGATTGTACATTTAGAAAACCCCATCGTCTCAGCTCAAAATCTCCTTAAGGTGATAAGCAACTTCAACAAAGTCTCAGGATATAAAATCAATGTGCAAAAATCACAAGCATTCTTATACACCAATAACAGACAGAGAGCCAAATCGTGAGTGAACTCCCATTCACAATTGCTACAAAGAGAATAAAATACCTAGGAATCCAACTTACAAGGGATGTGAAAGACCTCTTCGAGGAGAACTACAAAACACTGCTCAACAAAATAAAAGAGGACACAAACAAATGGAAGAAAATTCCATGCTCATGGATAGGAATAATCAATGTCGTGAAAATGGCCACACTGCCCAAGGTAATTTATGCATTCAATGCCATCCCCATCAAGCTACCAATGACTTTCTTCACAGAATTGAAAAAAACTACTTTAAAGTTCATATGGAACCAAAAAAGAGCCTGCATTGCCAAGACAATCCTAAGCCAAAAGAACAAAGCTGGAGGCATCACGCTGCCTGACTTCAAACTATACTACAAGGCTACAGTAACCCAAAACAGCATTGTACTGGTACCAAAACAGAGATATAGACCAATGGAACAGAACAGAGGCCTCAGAAGTTATGCCACACATCTACATCTACAACCATCTGATCTTTAACAAACCTGACAAAAACAAGAAATGGGGAAAGGATTCCCTATTTAATAAATGATGCTGGGAAAACTGGCTAGCCATATGTAGAAAGCTGAAACTGGATCCCTTCCTTACACCTTATACAAAAAGTAATTCAAGATGGATTAAAGACTTAAATGTTAGACCTAAAACCATAAAAACCCTGGAAGAAAACCTAGGCAGTACCATTCAGGACATAGTCATGGGCAAGGACTTCATGACTAAAACACCAAAAGCAATGGCAACAAAAGCCAAAATAGGCAAATGGGATCTAATTAAACTAAAGAGTTTCTGCACAGCAAAAGAAACTACCATCAGAGTGAACAGGCAACCTACAGAATGGGAGAAAATTTTTGCAATCTACCCATCTGACAAAGGGCTAATATCCAGAATCTACAATGAACTTAAACAAATTTACAAGAAAAAATCAAACAACCCCATCACGAAGTGGGCAAAGGATATGAATAGACACTTCTCAAAAGAAGACATTTATGCAGCCAACAGACACATGATAAAATGGTCATCAGAGAAATGCAAATCAAAACCACAATGAGATACCATCTCACACCAGTTAGAATGGCAATCATTAAAAAGTCAGGAAACAACAGGTGCTGGAGAGGATGTGGAGAAATAGGAATGCTTTTACCCTGTTGGTGGGAGTGTAAACTAGTTCAACCATTGTGGAAGACAGTGTGGCGATTCCTCAAGGATCTAGAACTAGAAATACCATTTCACCCAGCAATCCCATTACTGGGTATATACCCAAAGGATTATAAATCATGCTACTATAAAGACACATGCACACATATGTTTATTGTGGCACTATTCGCAATAGCAAAGACTTGGAACCAACCCAAATGTCCATCAATGATAGACTGGATTAACAAAATGTGGCACATATACACCATGGAATACTATGCAGCCATAAAAAAGGATGAGTTCATGTCCTGTGTAGGGACATGGATGAAGCTGGAAACCATCATTCTGAGCAAACTATCACAAGGACAGAAAACTAAACACTGCATGTTTTCACTCATAGGTGGGAATTGAACATTGAGAACACCTGGACATGGGGTGGGGAACATCACACACCAGGGCCTGTCGTGGGGTGGGGGGATTGGGGAGGGATAGCATTAGGAGAAATACTTAATGTAAATGATGAATTAATGAGTGCAGCACACCAACGTGGCACGTGTATACATGTGTAACAAACCTGCACATTGTGCATATATATCCTAGAACTTAAAGTATAATAAAAAAAATCGCTCAATAAAAAAGAGATGTAAAAACATCTCATTAACGTTAATTTCATATTTAAATAATATTTTGGGTAAAATATAACCTAAAATTAATTTCATTTATTAAGTTTTACTTTTATAATGTGGTTTCTAAGAGTGTTAAATTCGATTCCTGTTCTACATTTGTGGCTTACATTTTATTTCTATTTAACAGGGCTGCTATAGAATTTCAGAGGAAGTGTTTTTGTGGGTAATGCTTAGGTACTCTTAATGAGTATCGAAGTGAAGCTGAAATGCAGTCACCAAAGAAAGTTGGGAAAAACATTCTAGGCTTGTGTTAATTAGTTAACACAAATCAAACATAGAGATGCTTGAGCCTACAAAAGGAACATTGCATACTTATATGTCCAGTGATGAGGGGTCATGGCCAGAAGAAATTGTCTAGAAAGTTTCTGAGTAAACAGAGAAAGTCTTAGAGTAGATAGTGGAGAAAAGAGTGTGGAAGTTCTGTGGCAAGTTTTAATGTGATATGGTTTGGCTGTGTCCTCACCCAAATCTCATCTTGAATTGTAGCTCCCATAATTTCTACGTGTCATGGGAAGTAATTCAATCATCAGGGTGGGTCTTTCCCATGCCATTCTTGGGATAGTGAGTAAGTCTCACGAGATCTGATGGTTTTATAAAGGGGAGTTCCCCTGCACACGCTCTCTTTCCTGCCTTCTGCCATAATTGTGTGGCTTCGCAGTCATGTGGAACTGTGAGTCAAAACTCTTTGCTTTATAAACTACCCAGTCTTAGGTATGTCTTTATTAGCAGTATGAGAATGAACTAATACATAACGTTTTGTAATAAAGAAGAACATTTATTTTCCATGGTTAAAGATAGCAGTCAAGGAGAAAGGCATGAAGAGAAGCAGTTAAAGAGTTGAAATGCAAAGGAATGACCAGTATCAAGTGTAAGGAGGTTTAATTGCAGGGGTAAAAGCTGCAAGGATGAAAACAGTCCAGAATGAATAAATTGACATGAGTAAGAGAAAGTGATTCAGGACTAAATCTGTAATAGGATCACTTTTATTTAGTGTTAGTTGTGCAGTGTTGATGGAAGATGAGAAAATAGTTGGCTGTGTATGGCTTTCAATGTCAGACTAAAGACTTTGGATATAGAGTGGGGGAATTTGAAGGGTTTGAGTAGAAGAATGTCAAGGGATTTAAAATACCCTTTACAAAGATTCATCTGAAGGTAATGTAAATGAGTCTATTGATCAAGGTGGAGTTAGGGGACAAGAGAGAAAATATCAAGTGTTTATGTAATAACTCAAAATTAGATAATATAGATAAGAGACAACTGAAGTAGGAGAAAAAAGAGGTTTATGAGGTAAACTGAAAAAGTTCACTAAGTTTAGGTATGAGATATGTATTGTAAACAGATAAAGGATCAAAGAAGACTGCAAGGTTTTGATCATAATTTATTGAGAGCACAACAGAAACACAGGATTTAGGAGAGAGATCTTTTTTAGAGGAAAAAATAAACTCGTTATTAGACAAGTTGAATTTGAGATACTTGCTCAGGGTGTTCAAATGGAGATTCTCCATGGGCAGTTGGGAATATCACATAGGATGAAAGTCAACAAAAGAGCAGATTAAAATTTTGAAAGCATCTACAGAGACCTAGTGAAAATGGATGGATCACAGTGAGAGAGAAGTTCAAGAGTGTAGCAGAAGGCCTTAGGTAAAAGCTATAATTATGGAAGCAGAGGAAGTGAGGCTAAAAAGAGAATCCAAAAGGATGGCAAGACAAGGTATCACAGAATGCAGGTGATGGGGCTTGCCAGCCTTGAAAGACAGTCAAACTTGAGGTCAATTTATTGCATGTGACCATCACTTTAGAGAGTTCAGTTTCAATACAGTGGAGAGGGGATATCTGGGGGGGAAATTTTGATAGTAGCCCCCAAACATCCCCAATTAAAAAATTATTCTGAGTATATCATCCATGATATACTAACTCCTCCATAACTCTATTTATTTATTTATTCCCATAAAGATTTGAGGGAATCCTCTACTTGTAATTTGAATATATACCATCATTGCAGGACATTCAAGGGCAATGTGCATCAATAGGGATGATGCTGGCAGCAAAATGAGATCAGAATTGGGGGTCCGGAGACTGTATTGTAGTCTCAGATCTATGATTAATTGAATAGACGATCTTGAGGAAGCTGCTCAATTTCTCTGGGCCTAAATTTGTTTATCTAAAACAGTGTGGGTTTGGACAGTATGCCAGATTTAGTGCTTCTAAATTTATCTTTAATTTGTTTCTTTATGGTATGCTTTTTTCTTAAAAATTTTGAAAAGCAAATTTTTGTTATTCTAAAAACCTTAAAACTAGGTATATTTTTCAATATTATTATACCTTCCTCAACAAACCGCTCACTGCCTATTTTATATCAAATTCTTTATCCCTATTCCCTGTAAGAGATGGGAAGCAACTTATTTATTTTATTTTTGAGACAGTTTCACTCCTTCACCCAGGCTGGAGTGCAGTGGCACAATCTCAGATCACTGTAACTTCTGCCTCCTGGGTTCAAGCCATTCTCTTGCCTCAGCCACTTGAGTAGCTGAGATTACAGGTGCCCGCCACCATGCCTGGCTAATTTTTTGGATTTTTAGTAGAGACAGAGTCTCACCATGTTGGCCAGGCTGGTCTCAAACTCCTGACCTCAGGCGACCCACCTGCCTCAGCCTCCCAAAGTGCTGGGATTACAGGCATGAGCCACCGTGCCTGGCAGGAAGCAACTTATTTTGATAATCATTTTGTGGCCAGAAGAGGTAATGCATGAGAATAAAGGATGGCATACGTCTATAAATATAAATTGAAATGCTCCCCCATTTATAAATCATGTCAGAACGAAATTCTGCTTATCGGTTCAAGCAATGCCTCAGAATATTGAAGATGCATATACAGAGTTAAAACTAGAGAGCTGAAATATTGTAACAGGATGTGGAAGAGGAGCAAGACATGTTATTAATAAAAACTCACTAGTTTTAGAACTTGCTTAGGGCATAGTCATGTCTCCCAATAATATATAAAAGTTCCTAAAATATTATTAGCTTCTGAATCTTGTAGCATGTGAATGAATTATCTACTTTAAAATTAAGAACAGAAAATAAAAAGAAAAATATAATATTAGTATGTTTTATTTTTAATGTTTGAATATTAACTAATACAACTTTTCAAGCTGATCATTATATTCTTACAAGATAATTTTTAAAATAACCATATTTTAATAAATATATATTTCAAAGTTGGGCTTTAGGAAACCAAGATAGAAATAGGAAGCTTATGTAACAATACAGATGATGGAACCATAGCTAGTACACATATAAATTATATAGACATCACAGAGAACACAGTTATATAACTACTTCTCGGATAACTGGTGTTATGAAATTCTGCCATGATTCTGCAGCAGTTCTGATTTTTGTCAACATTGTTCTATAATCAAGAAGCTGTAGGTTTTTAATAGTCTTTCCTTTTGATGCATTTTTTGTGCAGAATGTTCTTATTATTCCCTACCCTCAAATTAGTTTCCCATCCAATTATTTTTTAATAAAAAGGAAATTAACATTTTAGAAATTTCACTAGGACTAAAATGTTAGGAATGTGTCAGTTTTTATCATGAACCAAATGGATGCACATATTCCAGTCAGTATTTTTACTTCAATGCCTCGTTGGTGTTAATGCATTCAATGAATGCCACCAAGTACATTAGTAAGGTCAATTTATACAACAGCTGTACTTTATAGTCAATAGATCAATATTAGTTACTAGATAAACTTTCCAAGTCCTCAAAATTAAAAAGTTTCCTCTTGTGATATTGCAAAAGCACATTTCTCTCGAGACTCAATGGCTTTAAATAGTTTTAAAAGCTGGGTCTGTTTTTGTTGCTAGTTTATATTTTAAAATTGGTTAATTTCTTAACAATTACAGTTGAGTGGGAAGTTTTCTTTGCTTAAACAGATTGAGAATCATTTTAAGAGAAGACATTAAGTCTCTTACATTTGCTTTTGCGTATTTGAAACATGGCTCTTAATTTGTTTGGCTCCTAACGTCATATGAGGATTTCAGAAAGGAATATGTTTGTTTGTCAAATCTCACTTTTGTAGTGAAAATATGCAGGGAGCAAAATAATTATATACAATTGCACTTTGATTAGCTGCACAATTGGAAGTTTATGTAAATATAAAAGAGAGGGACATATTTTTAAAAGTGTTCTACGTTAGTTACACATAGTTAGTCAAATATTGTTTATTAGTTCCTCTTTTTTTTTTCCTTTTTCTTTTTGGGACGGAGTTTCACTCTTGTTGCCCAGGCTGGAGTACAGCGGCATGATCTCAGCTCATTGAAATCTCTGCCTCCCAGGTTCAAGCAATTCTCCTGCCTCAGCCTCATGAGTAGCTGGGATTACAGGTGTGCACCACCACGCCCAGCTAATTTTTTGTATTTTTAGTAGAGACAGGGTTTCATTATGTTGACCAGGCTGGTCTTGAACTCCCGACCTCAGGTGATCCACCTGCCTTAGCCTCCCAAAGTGCAGGGATTACAGGCATGAGCCACTGTGCCCAGCCTATTAGTTCCTCTTTAACCTGGCATTCCTCTAAATAAAGATGTCTGTATGTTGGCAGTAGTGAGATAACTCACGTTAAATGATATTTATTGTGCTGACCCCAGAAAACATTTAAGATTTTAAAATACTTTCTTACTTATCAAAGAAAGATTACATTTTATTTTCCAAATCATTTCAGTATTCAGGAAATGCTAATTTTTTGATAATATTTAATCTATATACTCTATCAATGATAATCATTTCTTTATTAAAATACCTTACTCCTAGGCCATGTTAAAAGAAAACATAATTTGCAATCATTTTGCAATTTCAAGTCTTCTTTACAGCATATTTAGAATTTCTTCACATACTAAGACTAGTTATTATAGAATGTGACTTTTAGTTTCCTTTTACTCATATATTCTGTGAAAATATAAAGACAAAATTAAAAAAATTTAGATAGCTTTCTGTTTAGGAAAGGTCACAATGTTAAAATGTTGCCAAGTTAACTGAACCCCTTAGCAGTATCATTATTAAAGATCTTCTCTCTTCTAATACAGGAACTTATAATTAAATAAGAAATAATTGGACATTTTTTGGTGTGAAAAATAGACTCTGAAAATTTAAATAGAGCTATGTTTTTTTCCTTTATGGTCCAATAAGAGGAACATATTGGGTTCAGTATTAAAAGTAGGTGATATAATTAATGAATTTATATAAACTGGGATATAAAAAGAATCTTATAGCATAGTGAGATGTAAATTAAGCCAATAGGCTACATTTTCTATTCTGTTTTGTTTAGAAATGAATAAGTAAATGGGTTGAACTTTAGGTTAACTAAATTTATTGTATTAAATCAACCATCTTTCAAGACCCTGAATTAATTTTTCCCACTAACCTGCTTCACTTACCAAGTGCTCAGAGTTTCGATGGAATCATGAGTCAAAAGAGCAATGGCAACTCAAGGATTAGAATTTTCAGTGAAGAAGCCAGGGGTAGATCTCAGGCTACTGTAGGTTTTGTACTTTGAGCTACCTAATGGGGCAGACATTCTTCCCCAAATATACAAAAGACAGGAAAGTACATACCATGTTCCATCTGGCTGGTATCCACGGGAAATGTAAACCAAGCCCACAGGCTAGTAACAAGCCTGACAAACTTGTTTGAGTCCCAGGATTTACTCTTTCAATGAAAACTATTAAACGATGGAATGTATCTTTGGCACAACATATGCATTTCTACTTCATTTTGTTCTGGCTTATTATTTATTATATGACTTTAAGCTTGATTTGAACTTGAACAGGATCAAATCTGGAGGCTCATAACCCATAAATATATTCACCTACTATGTACTCACAAAAATTAAAAATTAAAAAAATAAAATTAGTAAGAGTAAAATTATCTCAAAATAAAAATATCTGAAGGTTCTTTCAAAGTTTGAGGAGATGGAACTAACTAGAGTCATATATAATTACATAGTATCATATAGTCATACAGTATCCACTAACAGATTCAAATCCCAGCTCTGTCAAAACTAGGTCTGGCAAGCATAACCTTCTGACTCTCAGATTCTCATCTGTGAAATGAGATTTGTAACACCTTCCACAGAGTGTTACTGGATATTTACGACTCAAATATATTTGAAACACTTGGCAGATACTAGGAACTCAAAAAGATTTTTTGGGGACATCTTTTATCTTTTTTCCCTTTTTCCTTCTTAAAGTGACACAATACTCCTAATAATGTTAGATTTTCTGGTTTGGGGATTTTTTCTGCTTGCTGATCCTTATCTTTTTCTTCTTTTCTGAAGCTGAGTCCTATACTTGCTATTATTTTAGGTTGGGGCTGTCTTTTCTGCATTCTAACAACTCCCTAGGAGTTTAACATTTGTCATTAAAAAGCAATTGGCTTGTGGAAGAACTGATATGTTAGTGTCAGGAAAGGAGTTCTGCATCCTATTGTTAAAAGTATTTTTTGTATGTGCTAATGTTTATGCTGCACTGAGTTTCAATTCATATATTCTAGCTGGAGTATCTTTTTGTTATGAATTTTAATGCCAGAATTTTACCTTTTCTGAAATGGTACACGTACTACGTATTTTCAAAGTTATCACAGAGCAGTTGTGACATGCGAAGGCAGGAAAAGATGTTACTAGACAAATGACAAGTTAATTTTTTTCTTTCTTCTAATTTTGTCTCTTGGCTTATGAAACCTACATTTGCTTTCTCAATCTAAGGAAATACATCTTCTCTGTACAATTTTCAAGATTTTTTTAAAAAATTAGGGCTCTTGAACATATGGAACTGATAACCACTAAAACAAGTAGACTTATACAGAGTGAAACTGTAGTATTCATATATATTGCATTTATTATGAGTGCAGCATCATAATAAGGATTGCACATAAATTAACTTGTTCATTTTACGAAAGCCCTATCATCGGTCTATTACAGATAAGGAAGTTCAGGTACAAATATGTTAGAAAACGACTTGTCCAATGTCTTAGAAAAGTGTCAGGACCAGGATCTGAACCAGGCAGTCTGATGCTCAGGTTTACATTATCTGCTGTATTAGTCTGTTTTCACACCGCTATAAAGAGCTACCTTGAGACTGGGTTATTTATAAAGAAAAGAGGTTTAATTGACTCACAGTTCTGCAGTAGCCTACAGGCTTCCTGTTAAGGTAGGAGACCTAGCTAGGAGGCCTCAGGAAACTCATGGCAGAATGCAAAGGGGAATTGAGCAGGTCTTACCATGGCAGAGCAGGAGAGCGAAGGGGGAAGTGCAACACACTTTGAAACAACCACCAGATCTCGTGATAACTCACTCACTTTCACTATCATGAGAAAAGCAAGGGGGAAGTCTGCCCCATGATTCAATCACCTCCCACCAGGCCCCTCTGTCAACATGTGGGAATTACAATCCAGGATAAAACTTGTGTGGGGATACTGAGCCAAATCATATCATCTGCCTTATAATATGTGACATGAGGGCCAGGATCAGTCTCCATCTCCTAAAATTGTGCTGCTCAAAGTGCTGTCCTTGACCAGATGGTACCAGAAAGACCTTGGAGCCTACTAAAAATGCAGAATCTCAGGCCTACTCCAAGAGCTACCAAATCATGATTTGCATTTTAGCAAGATCCCCAGGTGAGAAGCATGAATGTTAATGTTTGGGAAGTACAGACCTAAAGTATTATTTCTGTCATCATATATATAATTTTTATATGATGCAGGGAGACAGAAATCGCAGAATTTTAGATTTTAAAGGGTTTAAGATTTAGAGAAAATATAGTTCATTTTCTTCCTTTTATAAATGTCCAAAACATATATAAAATGAGCCACATGGGCTGGTTAAATATATATTTAAGAATAAATACATATTTATAAATTCTTAATAATTTAATAAACATTTATTGAGGATTTGTCACCTGTCAGACTATATGCCAAGTGGAATGGGGCTACAAAGACATACAAATCATGCCCTTTGGGACCCCAGTGGAGGAGAAAAATAAGTATATGGAAATTACCAGTGTTATAATAAAATTGTATGCACATAGTGCATAATAGAGCCCACAGGAATGAGGATGGAATGGGTACCATCAAGGACATAATATTAAAGCTGAGTCTTGGAACATCAATAGGTGTTGCCCAAAGGTACTGGAATTTGAGCCTTTTCCCTTACAACTGGGCCAATCAACATGATGAGTTGGGAGAAGGAGCTATTTAGAGGAGTGGATTTCAATCTTGGATTCACATAGAATCACCTGGAGAACAATTTAGTTTGTTACAACTCCCTTGTGCTTTGTTTCCCTCTTACTTGTCTGTATCTCCGACCATTTCGTCCGGTTCCTGGCCTGTTTCTGCCCTGGACTCTAGTCATAAATAATAACTTGTTACCTATTGGATCTTGAACTAAATCTGACAGTAAATGCCTCATTCTTGTAATTCCCATGAGCACAGAGCACTGTTTCTGCAAATCCCAACTAGCTGTAATGAGACAGCTCACAATCAGGTAAGTTAGCATTAGAATAACCTTAGGTTAGGACTTCCTGATCTCTAATTAGTCTGCTGTGCTTTCCAATTTCTCCTTCAAAGTAAATCAAACATCAGAAGATTTTGCTTTACAATTTTGGTGAGCCTGATTTTTAAACTATTTTTCTCCTCTTAAAATTTGCATACGTTTGGGGATACAAGTGTAGTTTAGTTATGCATATATATTGTGTAGTGCTGAAGTCTGGGCTTTTAGTGTAGCCATCACCTGAATAGGGTACATTGTATCCATTAAGTAATTTCTCATCCCTCATCCCCTTCCCACCTTCCCAGCCTTCCCCAGCCTCCAATGTCTATTATTCCACACTACGTCCATGTGTACACATTATCAGCTCCCACTTACAAGAGAGAACAAGCAGCATTTGACTTTGTTTTTGAGTTCTTTCACTTAAGATAATGGCCTCCAGTTTCATCCATGTTGCTGCAAAAGACATGATTTCATTCTTTCTTATGTCTTGGTAGCATTCCATGTGTATTAGTCCATTCTCCTGCTGCCACAAAGAACTGCCTGAGACTGGGTAATTTATAAAGGAAAGATGCTGGCCAGGCACGGTGGCTCACACCTGTAATCCCAGCACTTTGGGAGGCCGAGGCAGGCAGATCATGGGGTCAGGAGATTGAGACCATCCTGGCTAACACGGTGAAAACCCGTCTCTACTAAAAATACAAAAAATTAGCTGGGCGTGGTGGCGGGTGCTTGTAGTCCTGGCCACTCGGGAGGCTGAGGCAGGAGAATGGCGTGAACCCAGGAGGCAGAGCTTGCAGTGAGCCGAGATCGTGCCACTGCACTCCAGCCTGGATGACAGAGCCCCCCAAAAAAGGAAAGAGGCTTAATTGACTCACAGTTCCACAGGGCTGGTGAGGCCTCAGGAAACTTACAATCATGGTGGAAGGGGAAGGAAACACATTGCCTTCTTCACATGGTAGCCAGAAGGAGCAAAATGAAAGCCAAGTGAAAAGGGAAGCCCCTTATAAAACCATAAGATCTTGTGAGAACTTACTCACTGTCACAAGAATAGCATGGGGGAAACTGTCCCCATGATTCAATTACCTCCTACCAGGTCCCTCCCATGACATGTGGGGATTATGGGAACTACAATTCATGATGAGATTTGGGTGGGGACACAGCCAAACTATGTCACCATGGTATAAATATATACCACATTTTCTTTAGTTAGTCATTCATTGACGAACACTTAGGTTGAGATCATATCTTTGCCATTGTGAATAGTGCTGTGATAAATGTATGAGAGCACGTGTCTTTTTTACATAATAACTTCTTTTCATTTGGATAGATATCCAGTACTGGGATTGCTGGATCCAATGGTAGTTCTACATTTAGGTTTTTGAGAAGTCTCCATGCTGTTTTCCATAGACATTATGCAAACTTACATTCCTACGAACAGTGTATAAGCATTCACTTTACTCCACATCTTTTCCAATGTCTTTCGTTTTTTGATTTTTTAATAGAAGACATTTTGACTTATGTAAGATGGTATCTCATTGTGGTTTTAATCTAAATTTCTCCCATGATTAGTAATGTTGAACCTATTTTTCATATGTTCATTGGCCAACTGTATGTCTTCTTTTGAGAAATGTCTGTTCATGCTCTTTGCCCACTTTTTAGTGGGACTATTTTATTATTATTGTTATTTTCATTGTTGAGTTGTTTGGGTTTCTTGTAGATTCTGGATATTAGTGCCTTATCAAATGCATATCTTGCAAATATTTTCTCTCATCTGCAGATTGTCTGTACATTCTGCTGATTGTTTTTTAGATTTGTGGAATTTTTTTAGTTTAATTAAGTCCCACTTGATGTTCCAGTACATGTTGAATAGGAGTGGAGAAAGTAGACCTTTTTGTCTTGTTCTTGTCTTGTTTCAGCTCTTAGGGAGAAACGCTTTCAACTTTTTCCCATTCAGTATGTTGTTGCCTGTGGGTTGGTCAAAGACAGGTTTTATTATATTGATGTATGTTCCTTCCATTTCATTTATTGAGGGTTTTATCATGAAGAGATGCTGAATTTTATCAAATGCTTTTTTACATCTATTGAGATAATCATATAATTTTTGTTTTTAATTTTGTTTATGTGGTGAATCACATTTATTGATTTGGGTACATTGAACCATTCTTGCATCCCTGCAATAAAATCCACTAAATGGTGTTGTCTTATCTTTTTAATGTACTCTTGGATTTGGCTTGCTAGTATTTTTTTTTTTTTTGAGGATTTTTACATCTATGATCATCAGGGATATTGGCCTATGGTTTTATTGTTCTTGTGTTCTTGCCCAGCTTTGGTATCATGGCAATACTGGCTTCATAGAACTTTAACACTATAAATTTCTCTCTTAGCACTGCTTTTGCTAAGAGAGAGGTTTTGCTGTATCCAGAGGCTTTGTTATGTTGTGTCTCCATTTTCATTTATTTCAAAAAAATTTTAGTTTTTACCTTAATTTCTTTGTGGACCCAAAGATTTTTCAGAAACGTGTTGTTTAATTTCTGTGTATTTGCATACTTTTGAGAGTTCCTCTTGGAATTGATTTCTAGTTTTATTCCACTGTAGTCTGAGAAGTTATTTGATAAAATTTTGATATTTTAAACTTTGTTGAAACTTGTTTTGTGGCCTGACATGTGGCCTATCTTGAAGAATTCTCCATGTGCTGATGAGAATTATATTCTTTGGTTGTTGTGTAGAATGTACTGTGTATGTTCAGTCCATTTGGTCTAAAGTCCAAGTCTAGTGTTGTCAGTTTGATGTTGAAGTTCTCCACTATTATTGTATTGCTGTCTATCTCTTTTCTTAGGTCTAGTAGTATTTGTTTTATGAATGTGGATGCTCTGGTGTTGGATGCATATATATTTAGGATTGTTATATCTTCTTGTTGAATTGATCCCTTTATCATTATATAATTTTTTTTGACTGTTGTTGATTTAAAGTCTGTTTTATCTGACGTAAGAATAGCTGCTTCTGCCAGGCTTTGGTTTCTGTTTTGTGGAATATCTTTTCTCACCCCTTTATCTTCAGTCTGTAAGTGTCTTTATCAGTAAAATGAGTTTCTTGTAAGAAGCATATAGTTAGACCATATTATTTTTATTTTTTAACTTTCATGCGTACCTAGCAGGTGTGTGTGTGTGTGTGTGTGTGTGTGTGTGTGTGTGTGTGTGTGTATAAAATTTGCTACAGGCATAATGTGTAATAATCATATTAGGGTAAATGGGGTATCCATCACCTCAAGCATTTATTATTTCATTGTGTTACAAACATTCCAATTATGTTCTTTTAGTTACTTTAAATTATACAATAAATTATTGTTGACTAAAGACCCCTTGCTGTGTTATCAAATACTAGATCACATTCATTGTATCTAACTATGTTTTTGTACCTATTAACTATACCCACTTCCCCCCCGACACCATCCTTCTCCCCTACTATTCCCAGCCTCTAGCACCATTTTTCTATTCTCTATCTTCATGAGTTCAATTCTTTTAATTTTTAGCTCCTACAAATGAGTGAGAAGATGTAAAGTTTGTCTTTCTGTGCCTTTCTTATTTAACTGGACATAATGTTCTCTGTTCCAACCATGTTGTTGCAAATGACAGGGTCTCTTTTTTTTATGGCTGAATAGCACTCTGTTACGTATATGTACCATTTTTTCTTTATGCGTTTGTATGCTGATGGACATTTGGGTTGCCTCCATATCTTGGCTATTGTGAATAGTGCTGGAATAAACATGGGAGTGTAGATCTCTTTTTGATATACTGATATCCATTATTTTGGGTATATACCTAGCAGTGGGATTGCTAGATTATATGGTAGGTAAATTTTTACTTTTTTGAGGAATGCTTATACTTTTCTCTATAGTGGCTGTATTAAATTACATTCCTACTAACAGTGTATGAGGGTTCCCTTTTCTCCACATCCTCACTAGCATTCATTATTGCCTGTCTTTTGGATAAAAGCCTGTTTAACTGGGGTGAAGTGATATCTTATTGTGGTTCTTATTTGCATTTCTCTGATGATCAATGGTATTGAGCACATTTTCATATACCTGTTGGCCATTTGTATGTCTTCTTTTGAGAAATGTCTATTCACATCTTTGTCTCATTTTAAAAATTGGATTATTGGATTTTTTTCCTATTGAGTTGTTTGAGCTCCTTATGTATTCTAGTTATTAATCTCTTGTAAGTTTAATAGTTTGCAAGTATTTTCTCCCATTCTGTGGGTTGTCTGTTCACTTTGTTGATATTTTCCCTTGTGGTATAGAAGCTTTTTATTTATTTTATTTTATTTATTTATTTTTTGAGATGGAGTCTCACTCTTGTCTCCCAGGCTGGAGTGCAATGGCATGATTTCAGCTCACTGCAACCTCTGCCTCCTGGATTCAAGTGATTCTTCTGCCTCAGCCTCCCGAGTAGCTGGGATTACAGGCACTTACCACCATGCCTGGCTAATTTTTGTATTTTTAGTAGAGATGGGGTTTCACCATGTTGGCCAGTCAGGTCACAAACTCTTGACCTCAGGTGATCCACCCACTTCAGCCTCCCAAACTGCTGGGATTACAGGCGGGAGCCACCATACCTGGCCAGCAGCTTTTTAAATTGATGTGATCTAATTTGTCAATTTTTGCTTTGGTAGCCTGTGCATATGAGGTATTACTCAAGAAATCTTTGACCAGACCAATATCATGGAGAGTTCCCCCAATGTTTTTTTGTAGTAGTTTCATGGTTTCAGGTTTTAGATTTAAGTCCTTAATCCATTTTGATTTGATTTTTGAATATGGCAAGAGATAGGGGTTTAGTTTCATTCTTCTGCATATGGATATCCAGTTTCCCCACCAGCATTTATTAAAGAGACTGTCTTTTCCCCAGTGTGTGTTCCTGGCACCTTTGTTGAAAATGAGTTCATTCTGAAGGTATGAATTTGTTTCTGGGTTATCTACTTTGTTCCATTGGTCTGTGTGTCTGTTTTTATGCCAGTAACATTCTGTTTTGGTTACTATAGTTCTGTAGTATAATTTGAAGTCAGGTAATGTGATTCTTTCAGGTTTTATCTTTTTGCTGAGGATGTCTTTGGCTATTTTGGGTCTTTTGTGGTTCCATATAAATATTGGGATTATTTTTTCTGTTTCTGTGAAGAATCTAATTGCTATTTTCATTGGAATTGCATTGAACCTGCAGATTGCTTTCAGTAGCATGGAAATTTTTAGCAATATTGTTTTTTTTCAGTCTGTGAACATGAAATATCTTTCTTTTTTGCATCCTCTTCAATTTCTTGTATTGATGTTTCATAGTTTTCATTGTAGGGATCTTTTACTTCTTTAGTTCAGTTAAGGTGTTTAACTAGGCATTTTATTTTATTTGTAGCTATTGCAAATGGGATTACTTTCTTGATTTCTTTTTAGATTGTTCACTCTTGTAATATCAAAATGCTACTGATTTTTGCATGTTGATTTTGTATCCTAACACTTCGCTGAATTTGTTTATCAATTTTAATAGTTTTTTTGTGGAGTCCCAGATATAACATCATATCATTCACAAACAAGAAAAATCTGACTTCTTCCTTTCCAGCTTGGATGCCCTTTATTTCCTTCTCTTGTCTGATTGCTCTAGCTACAACTTTCACTGCTATGTTGAATAACAGTGGTCACAGTGGGCCCTCTTGTCATATTTGAGATCTTAGAGGAAAGGCTTTCAGTTTTTTTCCTATTCAATATAATACTAGCTGTGGGTTTCCATATATGGCTTTTATTATGTTGAGGTGTGTTCATTCTATATCAGTTTTTTCAAATAGTTTTTATTATGAAGCAATCTTGAATTTTATCAAATGCTTTTTCAGCATCAGCCGAAATGATGATATACTTTTTGTTCTTCATTCTGTTGATATTGATATGATGTATCCCATTGATTGACTTTTATGTGTTGAACCATCATTGCATCCCTGTGATAAATCTCACTTGGTCATGATAAATGATCTTTTTAATGTGTTATTGAACTTGAATTGCAAGTATTTTGATGAGAATTTTTGTATCAATGTTCATTAGGAATATTGGCCTGTAATTTGTTTTTTTTTTAATGTTTTTGTTTAGTTTGAGTATCAGGGTAATACCAGCCTCAAATAATGAGTTTGGAGGTATTCCCTCTGCCTCTATTTTTTTGAATAGTTTGAGTAGGATTGGTATTAAGTCTTTTTTAAACTACTGGTTTGGTAAAATTCAGTAGTGAAGCCATCAGTTCTTGCGTTTTTCTCTGCTGGGAGACTTTTTATTATGACTTCAATTGCATTACCTATTATTGGTCTGTTCAGGTTTTTTATTTCTTCATGGTTCAATCTTGGTAGATTGTATGTGTCTAGGAATTCGTCTTTTTCTTCTAGGTTTTCTAATTTATTGGCATATAGTTGTTCATGATAGCAATTATTTTTTATATTTTGTGTTGTCAGTTGTAATGTCTCCTTTTTATCTCTGACTTTATTTATTTGGGTCTTCTTTCTTTTTTCTTAAGTTATTCTGTCTAAAGGCTTGACAATTTTGATTATCTTTTCAGCAAACGCAGTTTTATTTTGTTGAACTTTTGTATTTTTTCTCAATTTTATGTCTTCAATATGTATTTAATATGTCTTTCCTACTGATCTTTAATACGTCTGATCTTTAATATGTCTTTCCTACTACTAATTTTGAGTTCAGTTTGTTCTTGCTTTTATAATTCTTTAAGATACATCATTAGTTTGATTATTAGAATTTTTCTGCTTCTCTGAAATAGGCTTGTATAGCTATAAACTTTCCTGTTATCCCATAAGTTTCACTCTATTCCATAGGTTTTGGTATGTTTTATTTCCATTTTCATTTGTTTGAATAAATTTTTTAATTTCCCTCTAGGTTTCTTCATCAAACCACCGGTCATTCAGGAGCATACTGTTTAATTTCCATATGTTTGTATAGTTTCCAAAATTCCTCTTGTTATTGATTTCTAGTTTTGTTCCATTGTGATCAGAGAAGACACTTAATATAATTTCAATTTCTTTGAATTTTTTAAGAGTTGTTTTGTGACCTAACATATGGTCTATCCTTTAAAATGATTCATGTTCTAAGGAGAACAATGTATATTCTGCAGCAGTTGAAGAAAAGTTCTATAAATATGTTTTAGGCCCATTTGGTCTATTGCATAGATTAAGTCCAATGTTTCCTTGTTGATTTTCTGTCTGGATTATCTGTCTAATGCTGAAAATGGGGTGTTTAAGTCTCCAGCAGAAAGGATAATCACTATAGGCTTCCATTCAGCCATGTTGCTTTGCCTACTCTGTAATCTAGATCATATTATTTTATTCATTCCGCCAATCTATATCTTTTTAAATGGTACATTTAATCCACTTACATTTAAAGTTGATATTGACATGTTAGGATTTGTTTTTCATACCACTAATTTTTATTTAGTTCTTTGCCACTTCATTTTTGTAATTGTTTTATAAGATCTGTAGGTTTTATACTTTTATTTGTTTTTATGATAGCGAGTATTGTCCTTTTGTTTCCATGTTTAGAACAACCTTGAACATTTCTTGTAGGGCCAGTCAAGTGATGATGAATTTCCTGAGCATTTTCTTTTCTGAAAAAGGCTGTATTTCTCCTTCATGTATAAAGCTTATTCTAGCAGAATGCAAAATTCAAGGTTGACAGTTTTATACATAAATCACTTTGAACATATAATCCAGTCTCTTCTGGTTTGTAAGATTTCTGCTGAGAAATCTTTTCTTAGTATAATGGGGTTACCTTTATAGGTGACTAGATACTTTTGCTGAATTTAGAATTTTTTATTTCATTTTGACCTTAGATAGTGTGATGACTATATGTCATGGTGAGGTCCTTTTGTAATATATTTTTCTGGAGTTTGTTGAGCCTTTACTATCTGAATGACTAAATATTTTGCTGGACTAGACAAGTTTTCCTCAATATTTCCTCAAATAGGTTTTTCAAGCATTTTACCTTTTCTTGTCCCTTGGGAATACCTGTGATTTTTTTAGGTCCAGATGTTTTACATAGTCCCATATTTCTTGAAGCCTTTGTTCATCTTTTAGTTCTTTTTCTTTCTTTTTTTTTTGTCTCACTGGATTCATTCAGAAGAACTGTTTTCAATTTCTGAGATTATTGCTTCTTCTTAGTCTAGTTGACTATTGAAGTTTTCACCTATAGTTTGTAATTCCTTCAATGAATGTTTCATTTCCAAAAGTTATGTTGGTTTGTTTGTTTTCAATAAAAATACCTGCCTTTTGGTAAATTTCTCATTCATATCAGAATTAATTTTCTGATGTCTTTGTATTTGTTTTCAAATTTGTCTTGGATGTCATTGACCTTCTTTAAAATCAGTATTTTGACTTCTTTATCTAGTATTCCAAAAATTTTATTTTGGTTAGGGTCCAATGCTAGAGAGTTAGTGTGATCCTTTTGGGGTGCTGTAACACCCTGTTTTCTTATACTTCCTGATATAGTTTGGATTTTTGTTCCCATCCAAATCTCATGTTTAATTGTAATCCCCAGTGTTGGAAGAGGGGCTGGTAGAAGTTGATTGAATCATGAGGGCAGAACTCTTCCTTGCTGAACACTTGTGAGTGAGTTCTCACAAGATCTGATTGTTTAAAAGTGTGTAGCACCTCTATCTTTTCTCTCTTTCTCCTGCTTCAGCTATGTAAGATGTGCCTACTTCTTCTTCATCTTCCACCATGCTTAAGTTTCCTGAGGCCACCTCAGCCCTGGTTCCTATACAGCCTGTGGAGCTGTGAGCCAATTAAACCTCTTTTCTTTATTAATTACCCAATCTCAGGTATTTCTTTATAGCAGTGTAAGAATGAACTAATACAGAAAATTGGTATTGAGGAGTTGGGCATTGCTATAAAGATACCTGAAACTGTAGAAACAACTTTGGAACTGGGTAGTGGGCAGAGGTTGGAACAGTTTGGAGGGCTCAGAAGACAGAAAGATGAGGGAAAGTTTGGAGCTTACTAGAGACTTGTTAAATTGATATGACCAAAATGCTGATAGCGATATGAACAATGAGTCCAGGCTGAGATGGTCTCAGATATAGATGAAGAACTTATTGGGAACTAGAGCAGAAGTCACTTTTGTTATGCTTTAATAAAGAGGTTGGAGGCATTGTTCCCCTGCCTTAAGGATCTGTGAAACTTTGACCTTGAGAGTGATGATTTAGCATATCTGGCGGAAAGAATTTCTAAGCAGCAAAGCATTCAAGAGGTGGCCTGGCTGCTTCTAACAGCATATGCTCATATGTGTGAACAAAGAGATCATCTGAAACTGGAACTTGCATTTAAAAGGGAAGCAGTGCATAGGAGTTTGGAAAATTTGCAGCCTGGCCATGTGGTAGAAAAGAAAAACCAATTTTCAGGAGAGGAATTCAAGAAGTCTGCAGAAATTTGCATAAGTACAGAGGAGTCAAATGTTAAAAGCCAAAGCAATGGGGAAAATGCCTCTAAGCCATTTCAAAAACCTTCATGGCAGCCCCTCCCATTACAGGCCCAGAGACCTAGGAGGGAAAATGGATTTGTGGGCCAGGCCCAGGACCCTGCTGACCTGCACAGTCTTGAGACACTGCTCCCTGCATCCCAGCTGCTCCAGCTCCAGCCATGGCTAAAAGGGCCCCAGATACATCTCAGGCCTCTGCTCCAGAAGGTGCAAGCCATAAGCTTTGGCAGCTTCCATGTGGTGTTAAGCCTGTGGGTGTGCAGAGTACAAGAGCTGAGGCTTGGGAGCCTCTGCCTAGATTTGAGAGGATGTATGAAAACACCTGGATGTCCAGGCAGAAGTCTGCTGCAGGAGCAGAGCCCTCATGGAGAACCTCTATTAGGGCAATGCAGAGGGGAAATGTGGGATTGGAGCCCCTACACAGAATCCCCCCAGGGCACTGCCTATTGAAGCTGTGAGAAGAGGGCCATTGTCCTCTAGACCCCAGAATGGTAGATCCATTGACAGCTTGCACTGTATTTGTGGAAAAGCTGCAGGCACTCAATACCATCCTGTGAGAGCAGCCATGTGAGCTGAGCCCTGGAGAGCCACAGGGGAGGATCTGCCCAGTGTTTTGGGAGCCCACCCCTTGCATCACTGTGGCCTGGATATGAGACATGGAGTCAAAGGATATTATTTTAGAGCTTTAAGATTTAATGACTGCCCTGCTGGGTTTCAGACTTGCATGGGGCCTGTAGCCCCTTTGTTTCTGCTGATTTCTCCCTTTTGGAACAGGGGTATTTAGCCAATACCTGTACCCCCCATTTTATCTTGGAAGTAACTAACTTGTTTTTGATTTTACAGGCTAGGTGGAAAGGACTTGCCTTGTCTCAGATGACACTTTGGACTGTGAACTTATGAGTTAATGATGAAATGAGTTAAGACTTTGGGGGACTGTTAGGAAGGGATGATTGTACTTTGAAATATGAGAAGGACATGAGATTTGGGAGGGGCCAGGGGCTGAATGATATGGTTTGGATTTGTGTCCCTGCTCCAATCTCATGTCAAATTGTCATTCCCAATGTCAGAGGAGGGACCTGGTAGGAGGTGATTGGATCATGGAAGCTGACTTCCCCCTTGCTGTTCTCATGATAGTCAGTGAGTACTCCCAAGATCTGGTTGTTTAAAAGTGTGTAGCATCTCCCCCTCCTCTTTCTTCCTACGACACTGACCATGTAAGATGTGCCTCTTTACCTTTGCTTTCCGCCATGGTTGTAAGTTTCCTGAGGCCTCCTCAGCCATGCTTCCTCTACAGTTTGCAGAACCATGAGCTAATTAAACCTCTTTTTTTAATAAATTACCCAGTCTCAGGTATTTCTTTAGAGCACTGTGAGAATGGGCTAGTACACTTCCAGAATTTTTACACTGTTCCTTCTCATCTGGAGAAATTATCACTTCTTATCTTTGAATTTACTCCCATTTAGATGGGAATTTTTCCCCTTTGAGCAGTATTACTATAATGAATATTGACTAATTAACTAAGGTCATTTGGCTTTGCTTCTGGGTGCTCTCAGTGGCAAAATCTCTGTATGAATTCCTTGGTTATAGATAACTTTAATGTTGTGGTTTTCTCAAATGCTGGTTGTAGTAGTGTATTGGGCATATGAGTAGGCTCACAGCCTCCTGCAGAAGTGGGGTGGCAGAGATCTCAAGAATCTTATCTTCTTCCCAAGAACTGTGCAATTTATGTCAGAAGAGTTTGTATTCAGTTGTGCAATTTGATTTTCAGGCCAGCAGTCAGGGCTTGCCAGTAAGTGCTAGCTGTGGTGGTAGCAATACCATCTATGCTTGATATTTGTTTAGCAGGAGAAACTCTCTTGTGCCTCAGGCAATGGGCTGGCCCGTGGAACACACAGTAGCCTGGGCACCATGCTCAGCTCTGGGTTGGGGAGGGAGCAAAACGTAGTAGGTCTGGACCAAGCAATCTGCCATTGGGTCCCCCAATGGTAGGCACAAGCATCAGCCATGACAGGGGTCATGGGGGAGTGGCATAGACTATATGATCTCCTTGGTTATAAATAGCCTTAGTGTGGTGGCTTTCCCAAATGTCAGTTGTAGTAGTAATGTACTGGGCTGGTGAGTGGGCTTCCTAAGTAACTCAGGCAGTGTGGATGATGGTAGCAAAGGTTGTGCAAAGTTTGTCTCTTTCCTGAGCACTTGTATCAGCAGATGTTGTGTAGGCTGACCTCCTAGCAAGTAGGTGGCTCTTGCAGGTGGGAGCCAGCTATAGTTGTGGCAGCAATGTTTATTATGCTTGACTTTTGTTAACCAGGAGAAGTACTCAGATGTTCCAGGGTACGTGCTGGGACGTGACACTCCCAGGGGTCCTAGTCTCATGCTCTGCCTTCTAGGTGGATGAGGAAGAAAATAAATGCCAGGTAGGGCTGGGTTGGGCAAGTCTGTGCTCAGGCTCCCAAAAGCTGAGCACAAGCACTGGGGCCTGAGGGAGTTGGAGTCAGAAGGCAGTTCTCAGGCCACTGAGGCAATGCTTCAGTGAGAAATGGAACAACTTCTTCCACTCCAAAGAACCAGTGGGAGAAAGAGGGGTGGCTAGGTTTCCCAGGCAAGCAGGCAGTAGTGGGACCCATACCCCTTCTATGCTCTGAACCTGGTGGGGCTCCCTCCCATGCCCTACTAAAAGCAGCAAGCTGAAACACTCAGCCAAGACTCAAGCAGTCTGTCCTCAGATCATGAAAGTGTCCCAGACCACAAAACTCCCTGCCTGGGATGAAAACCACAGCTCCCAGGCCATACCCCTCCCAGCTCTGTCCCAGGAAGTGGAGGCACCCAACTCTCACACCCATGGCTTAAGCCCTTGCCACAGTCACCTCTCAGATCTGGCCATGTGGGCTCCTCCTCCACTTGAGACTAGATTGCAAATCTCTGTCCCTGAGGTTCTCCAAACTAGTGACTGCTGCCCATGCTGACTGGCAGATTTCTGTGTAGCCTGCTATGAGTTAGGATCAGGAACATCCTTCTTTTATGGGTGCCAGGGTCTGGAAGCATGCATAAAGCACTTCCTGCTGCCACTCCTTCTCACAGTCTCCCTACTACTTCCCAAATCAGATCCAGCATTTGGAAGGGTCAAGTAGTTCCTGTGTGGCCTGGATTGCTCAGTTCCCCAGAGAGAATGTGTATTGCAGAGATACTCTCCCCATCTCATGCACTGGGGACCCAGCCACCATTTTCCACTGGACCCACAGCATAGGACATTGCCCATCGTATTTTTAAAAGTATCTGAAGTTTCTTTCATTTTTATGTTGAACTCCTGTGTTCCTTCTTGGATAAAAGTTTTACAGTGTGAATCTCTTATATTTAGTAAGAGAAGAGGCAAAAATCTTTGTCAATGAGGGAAAAGTCTGATACATTTTGCTGATATGCTGTGGAACAAGTACTGTACAAAAGAGATAGTGTACATTCTCAAAGCATGGTTCATGGATCATCCATGTCAGAATTGCCTGGGAAAGCTAAGTAGAATTCAGATTCTGACTCTTTCTTTAATTCTAATAAATAAGAATCTCTAGAGATGGGCCCCAGGGAGTAAATGTTTAACACTCACCAGATGTAATTTTAATGAATATTAGGTTTGAGAATGACTGAACGAGTGTGTTATTTTATCTAAAATCATTTGTTTTATTTGCTAAGTTTATGTTTTTCATTATTCTTTACAGACTTACTTTAATTATATTCAGAAGAAAATGTATTATAAGCGGTCAATGGAATATTATAAATAAAATAAGAGGTACATTTCAAATCTTTGACTATACATGTATGTTGCTTTTTGCGTCTGGGCACTTTTAAAAATGCAAGTGTTAAGAAATGGACATCGTTTTAGTGTCTGGAGCATGGATTTATTGATGCAATTTTATGTTAAAGCAGTGATTTAGTTTTCCAAGGGTACCAACAAAATCAGTAACGAGAAGCGAGCACAGCTCCGGGAATCATTCATGTTAAAAGGCACCATAGGCACTGCCAATGGGCAATGTTGGTGAGTTCTGCTTTAAATGCTAAGATCTGTCAAGAGTATAAAAAATGTCCTTTCCTGTGTGTTTGTCAGGTTGTGGAACAGCTGGTCAAATTAGGCAGTCTGGAATTGGAGTCGTGTGAGCTAGGGCAAATGTTTCCTATGACCACTTCCCATTTTTTCTCAGTTCCTCTCTCTCTCATTTGCCCGTTTTACCACAGCTCTTCACTTCTGTTGACGAAGTTTGGACTGTATCATATCTATTCTAGATTATTTCCAAAACTTCTGACCTGACTTCCTGGTCTTCATTCTCTCTCTTCTACCTAAAACCAGATCTCTTTCATTTTTTAACTTAAAATCTTTCAATGAATGGGCACTCATTACCTGTGGGGGGTCAAGTCCAAAATCCTCACCATCCCAATGAAGATTCTCTGGCTCCTGCGAACCTTTCACCTCCTTTACTTCACTCACATGCAATTTGCAGCATGCATCCATGTTATATCACATTGATTGCAATTCATTGAAGCATTCCTGCACTTTTTTCTCCCTATTTCTTCCTCATAGGTCAAAAGATATGGAATGCAACAAACCAAATCTCATGAAAGTGTACACTGCTGGCCAAGGCTTTCAAAGGACAAAAAAACTTTTCCTTTCATCATCAGCCTGTGAGCTCCCAAATTATATAACTGCTATGGGGAGAGCATACACATCATCTTGTTCTCAAGTCTTTTCACCTTATCCTGTGGAAAGTTGTCCTGGGAAGTCCCTCTGATCTTTTTATGAACTGGTGGCATCTTATGACAGTCCTTTTAGGACTGGGGTGTTTTCCTGAACACCATGGCATTGAAATGCCTTCCCCATATACAGCCTTACCTTATCAGCTCATTATCCACAGCACCTTGTCTTACATCCTATCTATCCTATCAGCTGGGGGAAAGGTGAAGCGCCCGAGGCAAAGGGAGAGGGCCATCAAATGGTGTCTCATACAGATAAGAAAACAGGAAGAAGGGCTCTAATGTTGCTTACTCTTGCAGCAGTTATTACTCCAGGCCCTAGTTTTGCCTAAGTTGGGAGTCTAACATAATTATAGTTTTCAATTAGAATATAGGGGAACTTTAATATTCCCTCTCCTGCTTGCTAAAGATTTACCTAGGGTTAAATATTAATGAGATGAAAATTTAATAATTCTCCTCAATTTCTAACATTTTTTCCTTTTCTCCAAAAAAAAAAAAAAAAAAAAAAAAATCCCCAGCTGTCTACAGATGCTTGCTCTCCAACAAGATTCTTGGATGCTTTAGGTCAAATATTCTTTCTGTCTTTCAAATAGAAATGATTTTATTAGATTGCTTGATTAAAAAATTGTATGGTAAGCTGTTAGGGGCTGCGTGTGTTTGTAAGACAGGCAGAGACAGACCAAGAGCAGAACATGGTTTGAAAGTGATCATAAAACAATTTCATTAAGAATTGTTTGTTCTTCTTTCCTTCCTTCTTTCTTCCCTTCCTCTGTCCCTCCATTTCCTTTTTCTCTCTATTCTCTTTTTTCATTTCTCCACTCTTTCTCTCTCCTGCACTCTTTTCCTTTTCTTTTCCTCTCTCTCACTCTTTTTCCTTTTGTTTTTGCCTTTGCTTTCATCCATTTATTGAACAATATATCAAGCTGAACATTAGAGATAAAAAATATGAAAGAAAATTGTTACCGCTTTTAGGGACTACACAAGCTAGTGTTGAGAGAAACATGTGGGTACACAGTTAACCATGAGATTTGGGCTTAAACTGATTTTTTTAAAGGAAGGAAGGCTTTTCTCTCTTCTGTTTCTTCTTGTATTTATTCTTTCATGATGGCAGGATAGTCTGAGAACTGTAAATCACTCTCTTAAATATCATGTGGACTGAGTTTGAGAATGCTGATAAAAAGGGTCTCATTTCCATATAAAACAGGATAAGGGATTTGACATTTGCCCTGAAGTCAGCGAGAAGCCACTACTAAAAGATTTTAGCAAGATAATAAGATTATCATGTTATTAGAAAAAATATTTTGATAATAGTGAGAAGGGGAGATAGGTAGTGGAGTTCAGTCTGGGGGCATTAGAAGTAAGGAAATCTTTCAGGAAGATATTGCCATCATCTAGACAATGATAAGGTCCTGGACTAAATCACTGGAAGTCAGGCATCTAGAGAAGATATGAGGTTTTAACCTACAGAAAAGATATGGGTGATTGATGAAAAGGGGGATGTTTTAGATGGCCCCCAGTTCTGAGCATTTGGTGCTGTTGACAATGAGGGGAAGGCCGGGCATTGGGATGAAGGAAGGGTGAAGATGGGTTCAATTTTCAATATGTTGGATTTGAAGTCTCTTACTAGATATCCAACATATATTTAGGAGGAAGATGGGTTTGGAACTCAGAAGAGAGATTGGTATTAAAAATGTAGCTTTGGAAGTTGACAGTCTATAGATGGTGGTTGAGAGCATGGCAGTGGGTATAATCACTTGAGGATGGAGTGAAGAGTGAAAAAAATTAAAGGAGAAACACCAGAATCTTGGGCAACACTAATACTTAGGGGAATAAATTATGGTAACTAAGGAGACAGACTAAATAGACTGTGAGGCAGAAAGAAGGGCTAAGACGAGTGGTTTCATCGGAACAGGGGAAGACAAATTTCAAGAAATAATAAATGAAGCCCAACAATAAATATGTAGAGATTCCAAGTAATAAAGGGACTGGAGGATAATAAATGAATTTAGCAACAAGGTGTTCACTGGGGATGCGATGTGACAGTAGAGCAGGGTGGGAAGTGGACGGCACATGGTGCAGTTGAGGAGAGGTGGGGAGCACGGAGAAGCTGTATGAGAGCTCATAAGGTGAGGGCTATGATGGGGAGACATTAGCAACACTAAGCTGATGGCAGAGAAGCTGTGAGTCAGGGGCCTCGATGTGTGTATTCTGCTTGTTGGAGGTTGGGGTAAGGGCTGGCTCTTCGGTGGAGACTGAGGGGCCGGAACTGAAGAGGACAAAGATGTGTCAGTATTATGCCACTGCAGGAGCAGACAGAGGGGCTGTCCAACCTTGGCTGGCTCAGAGCCCACCTTAAGCTGCAGCCCAAGAGCAGGCTGAAATGGCCTTGAGCACCTGGGATGGCTCTGTGAAAACACACGGGGTCAGGAAACTGACCCTACAGTCTCTTCTTTTGTAATTCAATCTCAATACTGTAGAAGGAGGAAAAGAAGGAAAATAAGTACTTGTCCTCTATCTCTGCTCATCTCACTGCCCAGTTCACATCAAATTCCTCCAAAAAGAAAATAAAAGAAAAAAAGCTGGTCTCTGCTTTGCCAATCCCACTTACAATACTTAAAGAAGAAAGAAAGATGTGAGCTCATTTTTAGAGGAGGGTTCACATTAGATTTTACTCTGGGAACATTTTTATTAGTTATGTCACTGGGTTAAACGTTTTGTATTTTTTTCTTCTTTAAATTTCTTGTTCTATTATGTTTTAAGAGGGGTTTGAAAGGTTTTAGTGTGTATCCATGCCAAAAAGAAGAAAGTCTTAAAAGAAAGAGGCAGGGGATTCTAGAAAGAAACAAGCTCTGAAGTGATGAGAGGTGTCAGACACAGAGTAGTGATGAAGATAGGAGGAGAGAGCCCTTCCACTGAACTGGGAGACCAGGGAAGAGAACCCAGATCTGAAAAGCCAAGGATATAACTTCCTGTTCATTGACCTCTAATTTTTCCATATGAGAAAGACTAATCTTGGACCTGGGGTATGTTCATGGCTGGGCTGCCAGTGTGACTGGGCATAATGGGTGGATTGGAGAAACAGACCCCAGAGCAGCTGGTTATATGATCCAGCTTCCAGGAGAGCTTCTTTGGTGAAATGATGGAGAAGGAAGTTTTAGTTGGGATAAGGGGAGAATAAAGGTGAAGATGGAAAAAAAAAATAAGATATATGAATTTATAACCCCTCTGAAAGAAGGCCACAAACAAAACGTGAAGGAGCTGTTGTGTGTGAGATATGGAGGCAGCAGCTGGCTCCAGGCCACACAGTTAGTTGAAACACAGGCCTACTTGGCACCTAGAGGACCTCGGCACTTTGGTTCCTTGTACTTAAATGACAGAAGCCTTGGGACCAAAGGGATTCATGGAAAACATGGAGGAACTCAGAGGATGCCCAGTTGAAGATGCTTATTGGCCTCCACATGTCTCAGTGTCTCTCAGTTTGAAGTAGATAATCCATGCAGGTGTCCAGAAAATCATGGGACTGAGGTCCCAAGGGAGCAGATGAGGGCAAGGGCTATGTTAATTCACATTATATTTTCTAAAAGAAAGAGGCCAGGTTTCTACATCTTGGGGAGAGGAGTAAAGTTTATTAGAGAAGGGTACAGAGTCCTGTCTTGGGACAATGAAAGATTATTATTATTATTTTGAGAGACAGGGCATTGCTCTGTTGTCCAGGTTGGAGTGCAGTGGCAAAATTACACCTCACTATAACCTCAAATTCCTAGGCTCAAGTGATCCTCCCATCTCAGCTTCCCAAGTAGTTAGGACTGTAGGCACGGGTCACCATACCTGGATTTTTATTTTTTTTCATAGAGATGGGGTGTTGCTATATTGCCCAGGCTGGTCTCAAACTCCTGGCCTCAAGTGATCCTTCTGTCTCCCAAAGCAAATGGGAGATTACTGGAGAGTTTGGAGAGCCTAGCTGAGAATGGTGAAAATGAGCTTGCAGTGCTATTATTTATCAGCTTTTCCTCAGTGTTTAGCAGCTTGTACTTCAGAATGCAGAAAGCAGGCAGCTAAATTAATTCTGTGTTGAGTCATTTCCAAAAGAAAGTAGAGGGACAAGTTCACAGTAAGAGAACCTTAAAGAATTCCCAGGCCGGGCTCAGTGGCTCACGCCTGTAATCCCAGCTCTTTGGGAGGCCAAGGCAGGTGGATCACAAGGTCAGGAGTTTGAGACCAGCCTGGTAAATATAGTGAAACCCCGTCTCTACTAAAAATACAAAAATTAGCTGAGTGTGGTGGCATGTGCCTGTAGTCCCAGCTACTCAAGAGGCTGAGGCAGGAGAATCGCTTGAACCTGGGAGGCAGAGGTTGCAGTGAGCCAAGATCGTGCCACTGCACTCCAGCCTGAGCAAGAGAGCGAGACTCCGTCTCAAAAAAAAAAGAAAGAATTCCCCAGAAAGAGGTGGTGCAGGGAGGGTAACTAGAAGTCCCATGCATTGAATGGGAGAATACGTGTGGTTTAAGAAGCAGAAAGCCCCTGTTTTTAAAGGTTATTGCGGCTGGTGTGGCCTGGGGGAAATCTTTGTTACACTTCTAGTAAGGCAGCCTAAAATCGCATTAGCATTTTTGGCAACTGCATCACACTGTTGGCTTATATTGCGCTTACAGTCAAACAAAATCCCTAAATCTTTCACACTTGCTGTTCTTAAGCCATGTTCCCACTATCTTGAACTTGTGAAATTAATTACTGTTTGGAGTCTAAAAGTAGGGCTCTTAAATTTCATCTTGCTAGATTTAGGCCATTGTGTCAGCTTTCACAGAATATTTTATATACTGATTCAGGTTCTCAACATAATTTTCCACATAACCTTCGGTAATACAGAACCCAGAGAAATTCTTTATCCACAATCAAAAGTGACATATTCACTCTACCGTTCTGTTTTTGAGCCCACATCTTCATTTTGTTTAAGAGACTTTGTCCTATTTCTTTTTAACATCCTGATTTGCCAAAGTGCATTAGTTAGGATAGTTTTGCTTGCAAGGATGGAATGCTAAATCAACCTGGAGTAAACAATAAGGACATTTATGAGTGCATAGAGGTAGGAAGGGCTCCAAGTATGATACAACCACAGCCATGACTCTGTTTTGCTGTTTGTAATTTGGCTCTGCCTTTTCCCATGTGTTGTCCTCAGGTCAACTTCCTTTGTGGTTGTAAGATGGCTGCCAATAGCAGGGAGGATAACATGGTTTCTTGTTTTTGTCCAGAGGGAGGGTGACAATGAGAGAAAGTGTAAATGAAAGACTATTCTTTCAACCTTATTAGGACATCCTCCTAGAGTGGACCATCCTGATTTGCTTAGGAGTGAGAGATTTCTTGGGATGTGGGACGTTCAGCACTAAAACCAAGAAAGTCCTGGGCAAACCCAGATGGTTGGTCACCCAAGCAACTATACCTAGACCAGTAATCATTACCAGGAAAACACCTGAACTAGTTGGCTTAAACCAAGATTCCTGGCAAAGGGATGGGTACTTGCGATTGGTTTGGACACATGTTTCTAGTCTGTCTGTATCAGAGGCAACTGGGGGCAGATTCCCGGACCTCCAGATCTATGGATTCAGACTCTCTGGGCATGAAGATTGGAAATCAATTGTTATCAAGCAGTACAGATGGTAGTCCTACATACTTGTGCTTGGAGAAACACTGATTTAGACCTCAGCTCTGAAGCTGGGGTCAACACCCAAAATGGCATGACTAATACACAGTTGGGCAGGGCTAAGAAGGATATTAGAGAATCACACACCTGTACTCAGCTATTTTATTTCCCTGGTTTTATAGTCAAGTCATCCTGCCTCTCAGAAGGGAAGGAAACTGTTCTTAGATAAACAAACCATTTTGCATCCTAGTAATGCCCAGTGGTACTTGACTTCTCTTACTAAGTACTCATAAACCATGTCTGAGGTTCGCTCTTACTTTTTCGTCCTGGAATCAGCATCAAACTCACAACCAGTAAGTTTGTAGAAGTCATGATGTTCTTTAAAACAATTTTTTTTGAAAGTTAGAGCAGTATTTCATTGTGTTCAGTCTTTGAAGAAGCAGTATAGATATTTGAGTTTAAGAAATTGAACTCTGGTCAGGCAAACTAGGTGACGAATCTCAGCCCCTAATTTGCATATAGTGATTTTGCATATATTTGGTAACTTCTTAAAACATATCATCTGCAAAATAGAATAATGATAGAACTTACCTCATTGGACTGCTGAAAGAATTAAATGAAATAATGTTTATAAAGTTTTTAGCACAGTGCTTGTCTCATTAAATAATCAGTAAATTTTGATAATCAATATTCTGCCTCTTCATTCATTCATTGTTTGAGATATTCTGAGCACTGAGTCCCAGGGCTAGGGAGAATGCCTGGCACTAAAGAATGCAAAGATAAGGAGTAGTCCCTGCTGTTAGAAAGCTAACAGTACTGGCATTAAACTATAATGCCATTATAGTAGATTTACATATAATATACCAGGAGGAAGGAATGATTAATTTGGGGGATGATCTGGGTCCTGAAAAATAAGCAGAAGTTTTGTAGATTTCTAGATAAATATGGGAGAAGAGGGAGACAGAAGGATATTCCAGAGAAAGGGTGCAACATGAGCGTTAATAAAGGCATAGGGACACACAAGGGTAGGGCCCCTTTGTGGATGTAAGTAGTTTTGACGGGTGGAATGCAGGGTTCAGGTCAGTAGCAGTGGTGGATGATAGAGAAGTACTCAGGGGCTGACTCGGGGTTTTCTGGAAGAGTGTGGACTTTTATTCTAGAGATAGAATAGAGTTTTAAGCAGAGGAATTAGATGCCTGATCACATTTGTGTTCTGGAAAGACCAATCTGGGGACCATGAGGTGATGACTTGGAGGGTGGTGAGGCGATTAAATTTGTTAAGATCCTGAAGCAATTCAAGTGAGAGCTGATTAGGTCTTAAACCAAGAGAGGGATACAGGTTGCACAACCCTAATCTGAAAACCCAAAATCTGAAATGCTCCAAAATTTGAAATGTTTTGAGTGCCAATATGACACAAGTGAAACATTTTACACTTGATCTCATGTAACAGGTTGTGGTCAAAATGCAGGTGCACCACATACAGCTGTGATATATCCTTTCCACCGTGCCCTGAGTACCCCCCACAACAAGTCCACAGAGGGTAATAAAATGTCACATGTGAAGGCCCAATGTGCCAAAGGCAGGTTCTCCATAAAGCCCCACAATTAATAAAAATATTGTATGAAATTACTTTCAGGTTATGTGTATAAGGTGTATACAAAATGCAGGTGAATTTCATGTTTAGACTTGAATTCCATCCCCAAGGTATTCCATCATGTATATGCAAACATTCCAAAATCTGAAAAAATCCCAAATTTTAAACACGTCTAGTCCCAAGCATTTTGAATAAGTGATACTCAACCTGCATTAGGAATACAGCAGAAAGGATAGAGACAAGAGATACAAATGACAGGACTGGGTGATGGATTCGGTTTGGGGTGAGGAAAAAGGAAGATTTTGGGGGAATTCCCAGGTTTCTGTCCTGAGTGGATGGTGATATCATTGTTTCAGATAAGGGACCTACAGGGGGTGGTGGTGAAATCAGGCTTTGGACCTCTTGAATCTGGGTTTTCTGGGAGACATCCAGATGGAAATTTATAGCAAGTCACTGGGTCCACAAAGCCACACCTGAGGAGTGAGTGAGGCCAGAGCCTCCTGAAGAGATAGGCTGGGAAATCAGCAGGAAAAAGCCTTCCAGTATTGGGATTGGCGCGTGACAAAAACTGCCCGAGATGATGCCTCAGCAGAGTGTGTACACTAGAATGAGGACTAGAAACCCCAGAAAAAACAAAATTCCACAAAGCTCATTGAGGTGATTCAGTGGTGTCCTCTACATGTTTTCTCAGGTCTCAGGTCAGAATGAAACACGTTTAAACTTTTTTTTTACTCCCTCCTTTACAGTAGTTTTTACTAATTTTTCTAGTCCCTTCACTATTCACTTTCAAGTAACTGAGATTTTCTGTAAATTTTGTTTTTGAGAGGGTGAGTATATGACAATGTTCTAATTTTTAAATTACATCTTGAGAAGCTTGTTTTCTAAGTAAGTTTTTCTAGTTGTTTTCTTATGTTCAGGCAATTAGAAATTTTTAAAAATAAATTAAAAAGGAGTAATACTTCTCATAGTTAAACAGGGGTGGGGAACATGGAGGAGAGACAGACCTGAGAAATGTTTGCAGAGGGGAGAAAAATCCTGCACAGGCTATGTCCAAAGAACATTTTTAAGAGAGGGAAAGGGACGTGTTTACTGTGGTTGCTCTGGTATTTAAATGAACTGCAGCAATTCTTCCGTCTTTCTTCCCCAGCAGTTACAGAGGCAGCCTGGGAAAGATTAGAGACAAAAATCCCAGTTTCACATATGAAGAAATCAAAAAGATTCCAATAAAATTGTCTGAAAGACCTCTGCCAACTACAAACTAGAATCCATGGGTCACTGGGGAAAATCATCCTGTAACGACACAGGAAGTAAAGAACTCCAGCTAATGGTCGCCACCTAGTGGGAAACGACAGGATTTTAGGACTTGGAGATGGCCTAAAATAATTATTAGGAGTTTTGTTCATTCTTTCAATAAACATTCTTTGAGAGCATCCTATGTATCAGACACATTAATAAATACTGGGAAATATTTAGTAATTGTTTGTAGTTGGGTTTATGAACTCAGACCTCCATTTCATTTGGTGGCAAAAACTCAATCTCAGTCACTTTAGTACCTCTTTTCCCCCTGACCTGGGTAGGTCTGAGTTACAGGGTTTAGTTGTGGTGAGGAATCTGCAGAAGGAAGGGTTCATCTAGCCCTCTGCGTTATTGTCTTCAGCTGAGATTTTTTTCTTCTTTGAACATTGGCCCCCACAGGTCACTGCTGAATCAGCTCTTGTTTCTAAGCAAAGGGTTCTTTTGAGTCTGCCTCTCTCTTAGATATTTCCAATACCTTCTCAAACATTCTGCTGTTTTTGTATGGCTGTATACTGCCCCATCTGCTTAGACACACTGAACATCCATTTTTATGTTAGAGTCTTGATGCTTCCCTTGGCTTCATCTAGGAACTGGGTCACAGTTCTCTGACCTCGAATTCTCGAGATCTGTTTTGGGCTTCTTTTGCCCCATTTTCTACAGGCACAAAAGAGCTTATGTTCAGATAGCCCCATGTAGCTAGATAATAGGCTGTATGCTGGATAGCAAAGGTAGATGAAGCCAATAAGGTAAGCTGAGGACAGATAGCTGAAGATGTTTTATGTTATGCTAAAGTGTTTTGTATGTATTCATTGCAATGAGAAGGTAATTGCAATGGTTCAGGTAAGGGATAAAATGATATTAACTTGAGCATCAGAGAAGAATTATAAATTTAAAAGACAAATGGGCAGTAGAATTATCTATATTTAGAAACCCCAACCTCCCCAGCTCAAATGGCACCTCTGTGTAAATTAGTCATAAGCAGTTCCTACAGGAGAGACAATCCATGGGTATATAGCTTGGGGAGTAGAGTGTGGTGTGGATTTTATCCCACCCTTTGGCTGAGTGCCTTGGTGCCGTGAACAATCTGCCCAACCAAATGTGGTGACCCTAAATGTAGAAATGGAGAGTGGGAGGAATGATTAAGTCAGTGTCCTTAAAAGTATGTCTGGAAATAGATTTCTATTCACCAGCTTCTTTCCCTTAGGTATTTTAGAGAATGACTATGTAGGGTGAAAAGACACAGTCTGATGAGCCATGTGAGTTTCTTACTTCATTTTTTAACCTCATTAGAATTATGATACCGTCAGCAAAGATAAAAGGTTTAAGAAAGTACCTATCCCAGATAATTCTCAAGAAAAAAATCTTAAAGTTTCTAAAAAGGTTTTATTGGGAAAGTCTAAAAAATTGTCACAGCAAAGAAGAAACTAAAAAGACATAACTGGTAAATGTAATGTGATATACTGCATAGGACCCATGTACAGGGAAAGATGGTAAGTAAAAAATAAAGAACTCTGAAAAAACAATGGACTCTTAGTTAATAATAATGTATCAATATTGGTTCATCAATTGTAACAAGTGTACCATACTAATGTAAGCTGTTAATAACAGAAGAAACTGGGTGGTGGGGATATGAAAACTATCTGTACGATTATCTCAGTTCTTCTGTAAATATACAATTTTGAAAGAATTGTCTATCTTAAAAAAAGAAATAGAGGGAAGATAAATAAATATGGAAAAAAGAAAAAATTTCCTTGGTTTAGAATAACCAGATTTTACCTTGAACATTAAACAGATGAATTCACTCTAGTAGGCATTATGGGGCATATTAGGCGTGCAGCCTCACTGGGGAGATGTGCCATACACATGTGCACGAATGGATCACAAACGAGTAGTGTACATTAAATACCAAATGAGTGCAGCACAGCAGAGAATCTTGGAATTTACAAGACCAGGAAGTATCGTTGGTGGAAAGAAGAAGGATTGATTAGTGGAAGGGGAAGAGCTCAGCAATGTTCTGAGTTTTGTAAATATTTTCTCACATTCTGTGACTTGCTTTTCCATATTTTGCACAATTACCTTCTCTCTTAAACCTATGAAAAGGTGGCTGGGCGCGGTGGCTCATGTCTGTAGTCCCAGAACTTTGGGAGTCCAAGGCCGGTGGAGCACTCTAGGCTAGGCGTTGAAAGTTAGCCTGGCCAACATAGCGAAACTCTGTCTCTACTAAAAATACAAGAAATTATCCGGGTGTGGTGGCGCGCGCCTGTAAGCCCAGCTACTCGGGAGGCTGAGGCTGGAGAGTCTCTTGAACCCGGGACGCGGAGGTTGCAGTGAGCTGAGATCGTGCCACTGCACTCCAGCCTGGGCGACACAGCGAGACTCCATCTGAAACAACAACAACAACAACAACAACAAAAACTTATGAAAAGATGAATTTATTCCAAAAATTTTAAAAGCTCATCTTTTTTTCTCTTTAAAAAAACTTGTGCTCATTAGTGTGTGTGTGTATTTAGTTCTATAACATTATAATACATGTGGAGATTCAGGTAGCCTCAGGTATCCCCCACCAGAGTCAAGATACAGAGCACTTTCATCACCACTAGGATTCCTAGTATTGCGCTTTTATAACCACCTACATTTGACTCCCTCTGTCTGACACCTAACACATGAAAACCACTTAAAATTTGTCATTTAAAAATGGCATATAGATAGAATTATATAATATGTAGTCTTTTGAGATGAACTCAGCATAATTATCTAAACATTATCTAACTACAGTTCCTTCCCTTTTATTGATGAGTAGTATTCTGTGATATATGTACCACAGTTCGTTTAACCATTCACCCATTGAAGGACACCTGGGTTGCTTCCAGTTTTTGGCTGTTAGGAATATAGCTGCTGTGAACATTCATACAAATATTGTACAGGTTTTTGTATGAACATAAGTTTTTATTTCTCTGGAATAAATGCCCTAGAGTGCAATTTCTGTAATTATATGTTTAGTTTTATAAGAAACAGCCAAATTACCTTTCAGAATGGTTGCACCATTTTATATTCCCACCCGCAATGCATGAGTGATAACGGTTTCTCTGCATTCTTGCTGCATTTAGTGTTGTCACTATGTTGTATTTTAGCCATTCTCATAGACGTGTAGTGATATTGCACTGTGGTTTGTGGTTTTAATGTTTAGTTTCCTGATGGCTAATGATGTTGAACATCTTTTCATGTTTGTATTTGTCATCTGTATATTGTCTTTAGTAAATGTCTGATCATGTCATTTGTTCATTTCTAATTGGATTAGTGGTTTACCATTGAGTTATATATATATATATACACACATACACATATATGTATATATATGTATTATATATACACACACATATATATGTATATATATGTATATATATACACACACATATACATATATACACACACACACATATATGAGATACTAGCCCTTTCTAGCCTATATGATTTGCAGATGCTTTTTTCTTGCGTTGTAGATTGTCTTTTCATTCTCTTCACATAGTTTTTTTCCAGAGCAAAAATTTTAAATTTTCTTGAAGTCCAACTTACGGATTTTTCCTTTTGGGATTCATTCCTTTGTTGTCAAGTTTAAGAACTCTTTGCTAGTGCTAGATCCCAAAGATTTTCTTCTGTTTATTTTGTAAAACATAGTTTCTATTATATTAACGTACGTAATATATTTTTAAATTATAGTTTTATGTTTTACATTTAAATCGATGCACCATTGTGAGTTAGTTTTTATATGAGCTGTGAGACTGTTTGAGATTGACTTTTTCCCCTATGGATGTTCAGTTGCTCAAGCACTATTTGGTGAAAAGGCTATGCTTTCAAGATTTAATTGCTTCTGCCCCTTTGTCAAAAATCAGTTAGTTAATCATATATGTATGGGTACATTTCTGGATTCTCATATAGCATTTTATTGATCTATGTGTCTTTTCCTCCACCAATATTGCATTGTATTGAGTACTATAGTTATATGGTATACCTTAATATTTGATAGTATGATTCTTCTTATTTTATTCTTTGTCAAGATTGTGTTATCAATTCTAAGGTTGTGCCTTTTCATATAAATTTTAAAATAAGCTTTTATCAGTCTTTTATAAGCTTTTAGTGTAGAGACCGAATGGTCCTACCTGGACTACCTTCTGTAAATGTGCTAGGATTTTGACAGAAATTTCATTAAATCTATAGACAAATTTGAGAAGGGACTTCTATACTATACTGTATTGAATCGTCAAAGTCATGAAAACAGTGTTCTTCTATTTATTTAATTCTTTGATTTCTTTCATCAGTATTTTGTAATTTTTTAGTATATAGACTATGTGCATGTTTTAAGTACATATCTATACATATTAGGCTGTTTTTGCATTGCTGTAAAGAAATACCTGAGACTAGATAATTTGTAGACAAATGAGGTTTAATTGGCTCATGGTGCTGCAGGCTGTACGGGAAACATGGCTTCTGGTGAGGCCTCAGGAAGCTTTTACTAATGGAAGAAGACAAAGTGGGAACTCACATATCACATGTGGAAAACCAGAGCATGGTGGGGTAGGGGAGGTGCCACACTCTTAAATAACCAGATTTCCTGTGAACTCAGAGTGAGTTCACAAAGGCAGTGACCCAAGCTATTCATGAGGGATTCAACCCGATGATTCAAATACCCTCCACCAGGTCCCACCTCCAACACTGGGGATTACATTTCAACATAAGACTTGGGTGGGGGTAAATTATCCAAACTGTATTAATATTTCTAAGTATTACATTTTTTGGAGCAATAATAAATGGCATTGTGGTTTTAATTTTGGTTTTAACATGTTTATTGTTAGAAAAGTAATTGATATTTTTGTGTTTATCTTTCATTCTATGACCTTGCTGAACTCATTTATTAGTTCCAGACAGTCATGTAGATGATCATGTCATCTGCAAATTGAGGCAGTTTAATCTCTTCTTTTCCAATCTGTATGTCTTTTATTTCTTGTTGACTTATTTCAGTGATTCGAACTTCCAGTAATGTTGAAATAGAGTGGTAAGAGTGAACATCCTAGCCTTCTCTACAAGCAGTCTCATCAAGTAAGATGTTAGCTGTGGACTATTTGTAGATGCTCTCAATGAAGTTGAATTAATTCTCCTTTGTCCCTAACTGCATGAGAGTTTTTCAAACTCAAATGCCTTCTCTAAATCAATTAATAAGACTATATATGTTTTTCTTTATACTGTTGATATGATCAGTTGCATTGATTGATTTTCAAACACAGAAGTAAACTTGAGTACCTGGAATCAATTTAATTTCGTCATGGTGAGTAATTCTTTTTATATGTTGTTTTATTCGATTTGCTAATAGGTAGGTAAGGACTTTTTCATCTAAGTTTATAACAAATTTTGGCCTGTAGTTTTCTTTTTTGTACTTTTTCTGGTTTGAGTATTAAGGTAATATGGGCTTCATAATATAGGCTGTTCCCATAATATGGGAAGTGTTCTCTCTTTTCTTGTTTTTTGAAAGAGGTTATGTAAAATTAGCAATAATTCTTTTTGAAATGTTTGATAGAATTCTCTAGTGAAACCATGTGGGGGCCTGGAGATTTCTTTCTTTGTGAACCTTTTTTTTTTTTTTTTTTTTTTTGAGACGGAGTTTTGCTCTTGTTGCCCAGGCTGGAGTGCAATGGCGCTATCTCGGCTCACCGCAACTTCCACCTTCCAGGTTCAAGCAATTCTCCTGCCTTAGCCTCCCGAGTAGCTGGGATTAGAGGCATGCACCACCATGCCCAGCTAATTTTGTATTTTTAATAGAGACAGGGTTTCTCCATATTGGTCAGGCCGATCTCGAACTCCTGACCTCAGGTGATCTGCCTGCCTCAGCCTCCCAAAGTGCTGGGATTACAGGCATGAGCCACTGCGCCCGGCCTCTTTGTGAACCTTTTAATTACTAATTCATTTCTTTAGTTATAGTACAAATCAAACTATTTCATCTTGGTTGAAGTTTGGCAGCTAGTAACTTTTGAGAAATTGGTCCATTTCTTCTAAATTTTAAAATTTATCAGTGTAAAGTTGTGTGTAGTTTTCCCTTATTGTGTTTTTTAATGGCTTCAGGACCTGTAGTGATATATCTTGTTTCATGCCTCATAGTAGTGATTTGTGTTTTCTCTTTTCATTATTGCTAGTCTCGCTAGAGTTTTATCAATTTTATTGGCTTGTGCTTTACTGAATTTTTTTTCTATTGGTTTTCTATTGCCAATTTTCTTGATTTCTGATCATATCTTTAATATTCCCATCATTTTATCTTTGGGTTTAGTTTGCTTTTGTTTTTCTAATTTCTTTTTTTAATTTTTAATTTTTGTGAGTTTATAGTAGGTGTATAATCTTATGAGGTACATGAGATGTTTTGATACAGACATGCAATTCCTAATAATCACATCATGAAGAATAGGGTATCCATCTCCTCAAGCATTTATCTTTTGGATTACAAACAATCTAATTATACTATTTAGTTATTTTAAACTATATAATTAAATTATTATTGAATATAGTCACCTTGTTGTGCTATCAAATAGTAGGTCTTATTCTTTTTAACTATTTTTTTTAAACCATGTTTTTCTAATTTCTTGAAGTAGAGACTTAGATTAATGATTTGAGACCTTTCCCTATTTCCAGTGTAAATATTTGGGGGAATAAATTTTTCTTTCAACCCTGCATTAACTACATTCTACATATTTTGGTATGTTACATTTTAATTCAATTCTCTCTCTCTCTCTCTTTTTCTCTTTTAGCAGGCAGTCACACTGCTTAGGTTCAGTGTGAAGTTTGTGGCCTACTTTTGTGGTCTGTATTTCCAATGAAAGTTTAATTTTTAGAGCCTTTGTGATGTTATTTTGTTCTTGGTTTGCCTGGGGTTGCCACTGGTCTCTGCTGGTGCTGATGGGGTGTAAAAGTTTTCTCATGCTGGGAAGCCTGATGTCTCTTGGTGCAGAAGGGGAGTCTCAGGTCTTTGAGGACAAAGAGGATTTGTTGTGACAGAGGTCTTATTGCTGATGCCACTGCCACTCTGGTATATCTAGTTGCAGGAGGGAAGTCTTGGGTTTGTAAGGGACAGAGAGTGCTTCCCTGGATGATTGTTTTGAACTGGGCCCTGGGACCCATCCCTTTGCCAGTGGTGCCATGCTTATCTAGTGTCCTCAGAGGACTACTCTTTTATTGTAGAGATAGAATGGTCCTACCTGGACTACCTTCTGTCGCTAGGTTGAGGTTTGGGAAACACCAGGTCTGGGTTGCCTTCTTCTGTGGGGTGAAGGGAGGTAACATGCCTTTCCCTTGTGTCATTATTCTGGTCCTAGGATCTCACACTAGTTCCTCTTTTGACCTTTTAGATTTTTTCTTTGGTGATCTCTTGTCTCTTGTGGTATTGCAAGGATTATGATTATATTTAGCAGAGGGGAGCAGAGAGAAAGAAGTCTATGCCATTTCGTCTGGATAAGAATTTTTCTTGTATTTTTTATAAAGCAAAAGTTTTAAATTTTTATTAAGTTTAAAATATCAATTTTTTTTGTCTTTTTCGTTTGTGTTTATATTAGTTCATTCTTACACTACTACAAATAAGTACCTGAGACTGGGGTAATTTATAAAGAAAAGAGGTTAATTGGCTCATGGTTCTGCAAGCTCTACAGGAAGCATGGTAGCTTCTGCTTCTGGGGACGCCTCAGGAAATTTACAATCATGGTGGAAGGTGAAGGACAAGCAGGCTCATATTACATGGTGGGAGCAAGAGGAAGACAGAGCAGGGAGGTGCCACACACTTTTAAACAACCAAATCTCGTGAGAACTCTATCACAAGAACAGCACCAAACGGATGGTGCTAACCCATTCATGAAAGATCCACTCTCATGATCCAGTCACCTCCCACTAAGCCCCAGCTCTAGCACTGGAGATTACACGTGGACATGAGGTTTGGGTGGGGACAGAGATCCAAACCATATTCTACCCTGGCCTTTCCCAAATCTCATGGCCTTCTCACATTTCAAAATACAATCCTGCCTTCCCAACAATCCCACAAAGTCTTAACTCATTCCATCATTAACTCGAAAGTCTGTGGTCCAAATTCTCATGTGAGACAGGACTAGTTCCTTCTGCCTATGAGCCTGTAAAATCAAAAACAAGTTAGCTACTTCCAAGGCACAATGGAGGTATAGGCATTGGGTAAATGCTGCCATTCCAAAAGGGAGAAATTGGCCAAAAGGGAGAGGCTACAGTCTCCGTGCAAGTCCAAAACTCAGAAGAGCAGTCATTAAATCTTAAGGCTCCAAAATAATCTCCTTTGACTCCATGTCTCACATCTAGGGCATACTGGTGCAAGGGGTGAACCCTGAAAGCCTTGAACAGCTCCTCCCCTGTGGCTTGACAGTGTTCAGCCCCCATGGCTGCTCTCACAGACTAGTGTTGAGTGTCTGTAGGTTTTCCAGACACATGGTGCAAGCTGTTAGTGGATCTACAATCCTGAGGTCTGGAGGACAGTGGCTGTCTTCTCACAGCTCCAGCAGGCAGTGCCCCAGTGGGGACCCTGTATGAGGGCTCCAACCCCACATTTCCCCTCTGCACTGCTTTAGTATATGTCCTCCATGAGGGCTCTGTCCCTGCAGCAGCTTCTGTCTGGATATCCAAGATTTTCCATACATCCTATGAAATATAGGCAGAGGTGCCCCAGCTTCAACTCTTGCACTCTATGCACCCACGGGCTTAACACCATGTGGAAGCCACCAAGGCTTATAGATTGCCCCCTCTGAAAAAGCAGCCCATACTATACCTGGTCCCCTTTTAACCACGGATGGAGCTGGAGCACCTGGGATGCAGGGAGCAGTGTCTCAAGGCTTCTCAGGGCGGTAGGGCCCTGGGCCTGGCCCACAAAACCATTTTTCCTTCCTAGGGCTCCAGGCCTGTGGTGGGAGGGGCTGCTGCAGCGGTTTTTGAAATGCCATCAAGGGCTTTTTCCCATTGTCTTGGCTATCGGCATTTGCCTTCCTTTTAATGATGCAAATTTCTGCAGGCTTCTTGAATTTTTGAAAATGTATTTTTCTACTACATGGCCAGGCTACAAATTTTCCAAACGTTTACACTCTGCTTCCCTTTTAAATATAAGTTCCAGTTTCAGATTATTTCTTTGCAGGTTAATGAGCATAGGTCGTTAGAAACAGCCAGGCCACATGTTGAACACTTTACTGCTTAGAAATTTCTTCTGCCAGATACCATAAATCATCACTCTCAAATTCAAAGTTCCACAGTTCCCTAGGCCCCGGGCACAATGCAGCCAACCTCTTTGCTAACACATAACAAAAGTGACCTTTGCTCCAGTTCCCAATAAGTTCCTCATCTCCATCTGAGACTTCTTCAGCCTGGACTTCAGTGTCTATATCGCTATAGCATTTTGGTCATAACAATTTGACAAGTCTCTAGGAAGTTCCAAACTTTCCTTCATCTTCCTGTCTTCTTCTGAGCCCTCCAAACTGTTCCAACCTCTCTTGTTACTCAGTTCCAAAGCTGCTTCCACATTTTCAGATATCTTTATAGCAATGCCCCACTCCATGGTACCATTTTCTGTATTAGTCCATTCTGTCACTGCTACATAGAAATACCGGAGACTGGGTAATCTATGAAGAAAAGAGATTTGATTGGCTCATGGTTCTGCAAGCTGTACAGGAAGCATTGTGGCTTCTGCTTCTAGGGAGGCCTTAGGAAACTTACAATTATGGTAGAAGGTGAAGGGCAAGTAGGCTTGTCTTACATGATGGGAGCAGGAGGAGGATAGAGAGGAGGAGGTGCCACACTCTTTTAAACAACCAGATCTCATGAGAACTCTATCACAACAACAGCACTAAAGAGATGGTGCTAAACCATTCATGAAGAATCCACCCCCATGATCCAATCACCTCCCACCTGGCCCCAGGTCCAGCACTGGGAATTACATTTCAACATGAGATTTGGATGGGAACACAAATCCAAACCATATCAGTGCTTTTGGTGTCTTAAGTAAAAAATATTTTCCTAAACTAATGCTACAAATATTTTCTCTCACATTTTCATCTAGAAGTTTGATAGATTTCTTTCTTAGGTTTAGGTTTATGATACCTGTTTCAGAATAATTTTTGTATATGCTGTGAAGTAATAATCAATGTTTCTTTTTTACACATAAATTTCTAGTTGTTCAGCACCATTTGTTGAAAATGTTATCCTTTCCCTTTTGAATTGCCTATGTATCTCTGTCAACAATCAATTGTCCATATATGTGTGGTTGTATTTATGGATTTCATCTGTTTTATTGATTTATATTTTTATTTTTATACCAGTGGAAGTTTTCTAACTTTGTTCTTCATTGTGTTTCTATATTAGTTATAGAATCAACCTATCAATTTCAACAACAAAAAGCCTGGTAGGATTTTGTTTGAGGCTGTGTTAAGCTTGTAGGTCAATTTAGGGAGAATCCACACTAATGATATTGAGCTTTCTCAATCTATAAACATAATACATTTTCCCATGTAAGTAGGGGTTCTTTAATTTCTGTAAGAAATGTTTTGTAATTTTTAATGTACATGTTTTACACATTATTGTTAAATTTATCCCTAGGTATTTTATCATTTTTGATGCTGTTGCATCAAGAACCTTGTATCAAAGGAAACTAGGTTAATACAGAAATCAATTATTTTATATATATATATGTATGTAAAGAACAATTAGAAATTGAAAATATTTTAAAAATATAATTGCCTTGCCTAGAACTTCAACTACAGTGTGGAATATAAGGATAAGAGTGAATAGCCTGCCTTGTTCCTGATCTTAGGGAAAAAGTATTTAATCTTTCACAATTAAATATTATGTTAGATTAAAAAAGTTCCCTTTTCTCTTGGCTTGGTAGAAAGTTTTATCAAGAATAGGTTTTAATTTTGTAAAATGCTTTTTCTGTATCTATTGAGATGATCATATGGTTGTTGTTAGATTGTTAATATTGTGCATTCCTAAAATAGACACCAGTGGTCAAGATATAGTATCACTTTATATATTGCTTGACTCAATTTGCTAATATTTGTTAAAGATTTTTACATCTATTTTCATGAAAGTTAGTAGTATGTGACTTTTTTCTATCATGTGTTTGCTTGGTTTTAGGATTAGCACAATGCTGCTCTTCTAAAATGAATTGAAATGTATTTTCTCTTTTATTTTCTGAGAGTTTGTGTAGAACTGACATTATTTGTTCCTTAAACAGCAGGTAGAATTCAACTGTGAAGGAATCTGGGCCTGAAGGTGTCTTTTTCCAGTGGAGGGTGGGTAGGAATAGTAAGGCAGACTATTTTTAATTGTTAGCTTAATATTTCTGTTATACACCCTGTAGCAACTGTTGATGTTAACATTTTCAGGCCCACTACATCCTTTCAGATTGAGATATTCACAGAATACAGTTTTTGCAGATTTTAAATAATTCACTTTGGTCAGCTTTTTTGTTTTCTTTGTAATGCCTTATATATATGGTCTTCCATATACTACTATCTATGCTCAATTTTTTATTTAAATGAGTCCAGTTTTCCTGCAGCTGTAAAACCATTAAGGTCCAACAAGAAGTTCCCTTAGACAGTTGACTTTTCTGTCTATGACAATGTAGCTAACTAGGTTTCATCACCTTTCCCAGTGGGCAATTGAAGTATTTTATGACAATCTCATGGTAAGAGCTTATAAAACTCATCTTTCTTGGAAAATAAATTTAATTTATTGGTCAATTGAATATAGCCCTAATTTTCTTCTCACTGATTTTTCACTGTTGACCCCTTGGAACTTTGGACTTCTCTCACCATTTTGATTCTTTTGCCCTTTTACTTTAAATTAAAAATTGGGATAGACTCTTTCAAGGTTTGGTCACATTGTGTATGAATATACTTTATTTATTTATTATTTATTTATTTATTTATTTATTTATTTTTTGGAGACGGAGTCTTGCTCTGTCGCCCAGGCTGGAGTGCAGTGGCACAATCTGGGCTTACTGCAAGCTCTGCCTCCTGGGTTCACCCACCATTCTTCTGCCTCAGCCTCCTGAGTAGCTGGGACTACAGACACCACCACGCCCGGCTAATTTTTGTATTTTTAGTAGAGACGGGGTTTCACCATGTTAGCCAGGATGGTCTCGATCTCCTGACCTCCTGATCCGCCTGCCTCGGCCTCCCAAAGTGCTGGGATTACAGGTGTGAGCCACCGTGCCCGGCCCAGAATATACTTTAAAAAATAAATGCCTTTGAATCACAGATACTTCTCTTCACACTAAAATTGAGATTGGCTTCTATATACACTTTTTAAAACTACAATTTCTTTTCTCTTTCTTTCTCTTGTTCGCAAATACCTAAAAAGAGACTGCAAACAGAGCTGAAAACTATAAGATTAATGCCAGTGACATAGAAGAGTCAAAGTAAAGCATAATTATTTGTTTTGAAGTAAAATTAGACCAAATGAAACAAAAAAATGTAAGACCTTAAACATTCCTGGTAGTTCATATTAGAATCCTTACATTAAAACTATCTGCCAACTTGTAATCCTTTACTTAAGTCTATTTTCCTCAGCTACCAGCCTTCGAGACCTAGAAAAAAAGCAGTTTGTTATTGAAGTATATTATTTTTAAATTTTGTTTTATTACAAGTGTTGCAAACAGCATTTCTTTCCTCTAATATTAATTATCAATCTGCAGTTTATGGCTTTCATTATAGACTAAATAAATACTATAGACTGACCTAGGAAATTAATTTCTAATGTAGCATTTTTTTCTATAAGAATTTGCACTTGAAATAATAATCTCTGTTCTTCATTCAAAATCAGATTTAAGTGTCTAGTCTACCTTTATTACCTCTAGTTACTTACCTTCCATTCTCTCCTCAACTCTTTGCAATCTGATTCCCATACGATTCCGACCCTAGAATTTACTCTTGTTGCAGGTACCAAGAGCGTCTATTTATCAAAGATAATGCTGTGATGTATCTTTTCTTTTGATCATATTGACCACCTATTTCTCTTAAGAGTTTTCTGTCTCTGTGATAATATTTCCTTTAATTCTCTTAGTATTCTAACCATTTTCTATAGGTATTTTTGACTACTTTCCCACTTTCTGCCTGTTCAGGGCTGGGTTACTGATTTTCTTACCCGTGAGTATATTCTTGGCTCACATGTATTTGGACAGTCTCATGCACTTTCATAAATTCAACTGTCTAGTCTTCCAGCCCTTTTGTCTTGAGTTCTAGTCTCATATTTCCAAATCTGAAGTGTAATTCTTCTCTTATTCTTTTCCCCCTTCTTGGCTGGCAGTATCATTCAACATCAACCCAGCCTCTGTTAGTTACCCAAGTATTAGCTAGAACCATTCAGTGTTGAACTTGAAAGTGACTGCAATTAGTGTTAGGGCTGCTGAGACTTCATATAATACCTTCATTTTATTTTTTTTTTTTGCAAATTAGACAAAGTCACCCCCTTACTTCAGCTTCTGTACTTCATAAAAGAACATAAAATAACTTTCCTCATTCAATAATTTATTTATATTGAAGCATTTTATACAAATGTATAATAATTAGGAAGTAAATAACACTCCCTTAGATGTTGTGCTGTCAAGCAGTAAACAACCTATACAAGTATACACAGCAGGATATTTCATATTTCTAAGGCTAAGAAAGAAAAGATTAAGATGGTGTTTATTATTTCTATGAGCTCTATGAAATTTAAAAGATGCGCTAAGGAATCCTAGTGATTCTTGCTGCCTTCCAATGGCTCATGAAAAAAATGATTAGTGTTATAGATTATTGGGAAAAGCACACTTAAATATATGATATAATTATATCAGGCAATATCTTTGAGGCATGTGAACAAATGTCTTGGTGATAGAACCTCTATATTGTTTCTTGACCAATACCATATAATATATGAGATTCTCAGTTTCCAGTGAGTGAGTGCAAATCCTGTGGAAATATATATTACAATTTCACTGGCATGCCTCATAACAAATGTTTGAGAGTTCAGACATTTTTGGGACACAGTGATTTTCTAAACTTTTCAATAGCTTAAACTGTAGGGTCCAGACAACACATCATCATGAAAAAAATACATAAAAATAGATATCTAGAAAATTTTAGGGGAGGAAGGGCTTAGTTTTGGGAGCTATTGAGGGCTTGTAGGCTTTCCTCAGAACATTAGTTAGCCACCTGAGAATAGTGCCTGATGAAAAGTAGTGGTGACAATTCCTGGCAAAAGATTTTAATGCTCAGTAGGGAAATCCAGAAGAATGAAGCATAGGCTGTAGTTACTTATTACACATACATATAATACATGTTAAATGTAGCTATAAAATTAGATCACACTGTATACATTTGCATCATTATATTTCATTTGTCATGAGCATTTTGCCTATGTCAATAAATATACATTTTTCAAAAACATCATTTAAAAGTCATTGAAGTAGTTTGTTTTGTGCTATTATTTGTAATTCTATTTTTACTGTTTGCTTTTTTACCTTTCTAAATAACATGGAACGCAGAAATATAAGAAGTATAAAAGTGTCCAAAATCTAGGAAATATTTATTTACAAAAAAATTATTTCCTTAGTATCTATTTTGAAGGGAGATTTAGTAGGATGATTGAATAAGGACATTTTTGTGAGCCTTGGTATATACTTCTGAATTGTTTTCCAAAAAGGCTATACAACTTTCCTTTTGTTGACAGACTAGCTTGACTGCCCTTTCAAGGAAAAAATATAGGCATAATGTAGCTGCATATAAACAAAGATTTGATATGGAATTATTTCATCTTTAAAGAAAAATTTGAGAAATATAGGGTATATAATAGTTCAATAAATTAAATTTGCTATAGAAAAAGGACCAGATTAATAGAAAAAAAAAAAAACAGACTTAAAGTTTCTAGCAGATTGCCACTGGCTCTTCTATGCAGTATTTCCTTTTAAAGCAATGATAGAAACGAAGATATAGAAAATCTGTTTAGAAGATTTGATGATCACGAAAAATGATAATTTAGGAAGTAATTATTTGGTTAAATGTTGGAGGCACCAGAACATAGTAGTTAAATACGTAGGTTTTGGAGACTGATTGGGTTTTAAAATCCAGCTTTCCCACTTGTTCTGTAACTTGGGTCGAGTTACCTAACCTCATTATTCTTTTCATTACGACCTTCCTATCCATCTCAACCTCATTATTCTTTCCATTATGACCTTCCTATCCGTTCTTTTTCTTATCTGTTTGTACACAGTGTGAACACAAGCACGTTTTTTAAAATATTTTTTTATTTCTTTATACATAATTATTTATGCGATTCCATTATGGCAAGATTGCTATTCACCTCCACTAAGAAAACAAGCTTCAACTGAAAGACACTTTCCCTGGTGGGGAGTGGGGAATGAAGGAAGCTGGAGACAAATAATCAAATGTTTCCTAGGGCTGTCGTGAAAATGAAATGATATAAAATGTGTAAAATGCTTAACATGTTTTCTAGCACATAGGAACTATAAAATAACTTATGATTAATATAAAGAACTATATAATTACTTATATTTGTTATTAATCTAAAAATACTTTGGTAAACTGGAAGCATGAATCAATTAATACAATCAAATATGCTAGTAATAAATATGTTTATTTACCTTGGCCTAAAAATGATGACATGATTGTCAGCTTTAATTATGAAAAGATGATTGATTTAATTAAATATAGGGTTGATAGTATAATGTGTCTATAAATAATTTCCAGCTAAGGATGACTAATGGCTGTATTAGTAGAAGTATAGTGTTTAGAATAAGGGAGATGATAGTCCTGTCTTACTCTGAGTTAATCACACCATGCCAGAAGCATTGTATGAAGTTCTGGATGCCAGATTTTAAGGTTAGAGTTTGGTTTGGGATTAAAGTTTATTTTAAAAAATTTATTTGTTATTGGGATTTTTTCCCTCAAGTAATATTATTTTGAGGAGAGACTGAATAAAGTAAGGATATTTCATGTGAAGAAGGGAAGTTTGGAAGGATATGATAGCTATCCACAAGTATTTGAAAAGATACTACACGGATTAATTAAAGTTCTGCTCAATACAGGTAATAGGAATTAGGAAAATGTGGAAAATTTCATTGGATCTAAGGAAGATCTGAACACTCAGGCATCAGTGAGGCAGCTCCAGGTGTCTCATTCAGCAGCAGATATTGAGGCACCTTCCTCAGTCCAGCACTTCTGAGTACTACCATTGATGTGCCTCAGCGCCAACTTCCCAAGTCTCTTCTCAATTCCGTGGAGAGAGAATCAGATTATCCAACATGTATCAGGTTCACTCTTAAATAAGTGGGAATGGAAGTAGTAAGATGGGCTTCAAATTTAGGTTCCTAGGAGTCAAAGCTAAGAATGAACATTCATCATTATTCATAGGTGGGCCTGCCTCCCTTTACTTCTTTTCCTGCCTTCTCTGAAATCTAAGTGGATAGAAAGATTTTTAAAGGAGCTTTATTGACATTCTCATCCATTTCTTTCAGTGTATTGGCCTAAAGTCTATTATATAACAGTTGCTATTTATCGTTACGAAAGATTGAGCATAAGGAAATGTCCTTTATTGAGAGATTTCTTTTCTCCTGAAATTAATGATTAATGTGATGCACCTTAAAAGGTACATAAAAATCTTGTGGAAGACATAGCTGCTAGGTAATCAATTTATTTTAGATTTGGGCCTATAGAAGCTCTCTTTTTAAGAATATTTTAGGGAAGTATTGAACATACAGTGTTTTATTTCTAATAAGAGATGGGCTTTGGTAAATGGAAATTTACAATCTTACCTATCTCTGCTATCCATTAGTACAGAAATATGAAATAAACATTAATGGCAAACATAGCAATATTTATAAATATTTTAATCAATATCGATGGCTTTTAGTAATTTTGAAAAGTTGTGTTTTTTTCTGAATCAATGAAGGTTTAAAAATCTTTTAGAGGCCCGGCGTGGTGACTCACATCTGTAATCCCAGCACTTCGGGAGCCCGAGGCGGGAGGATCACTAGGTCAGGAGATCAAAACTATCCTGGCCAACATGGCGAAACCCCGTCTCTACTAAAAATACAAAAATTAGCTGGGCGTGGGGTCGCGTGCCTGTAATCCCAGCTACTCGGAAGGCTGAGGCAGGAGAATGGCTTGAATCTGGGAGGCGGAGGCTGCAATGAGCCGAGATTGCGCCACTGCACTCCAGACTCCGTTTCAAAAAAAAAAAAAAGAAAAGAAAAAAACTTCTAGATACTGTAATGTAACTTAGTGGTTGGCAAATTTTTCTGTAAAGGTGAGGTAGTAGGTATTTTCAGCTTTGCAGATCGTACAGCCTCTGTAGTAACTATTCAGTTCTGCCATTGTAATGGAGAAGCAGCCATAGACAATATAGAAATGAATGAACATCGCTGTGTTCCAGTAAAAATTTATTTACAAAAACAGGTGACAGAACAGATTTGACCCAAGAGCCATAGTTATTGATCCCTGTTGTAACTAATTACATGTCTGTACTTGTTTTGCCTGTCAGGAAGCTCAGATCCAGCTTTGCACTCTACCTCCATCATGGACCTGCATGCTATATACCACTACATTCATGCTCTCCTTCCTTTATGCCCATGCCCTCAGCCAGCTTTTGAAAGTCCTATTATATTGTGGGTGTCTGAAACCAAGTGAATTCGTTCTTGCACTAAGATTAATATAATTAAATCAAATTAAATTTAAAATAGTTTTTAATTGGGAGACAAATTTTTTTACTTTAGGTACTATTCTAAATAATGGCATAAATACACCAAGTAAATATAATATCTGTATTTCATATAGTAACCAACTTTTATTATAACTCTTTCTACTCAAAGTCCTCACAGTTGGGTTGATCTTTTTTTATTCTTTGCATTATTCATCTTCATCCTGGATACTAGTGAAATAGTGTCTTTTTCTGTTTACTATCTGTTAGGCTATGTTCACAGGATTTAACATGAAAAACACAGTGAGAAAAAAACTAAAATCCAGACCCTGCCCCCCAAATCTGGTAGTTACAATAGGTCTTTTTTGTTTGTTTGTTTGTTTAATTTTAAGAAACCGGGTCTTGCTCTGTTACCCAGGTTAGAGTGCAGTGATGCAATCACAGCTCACTGTAACCTTGAATTCCTGGCATCAAGTGATCCTCTCTCCCACCTTGATCTCTTAAAGTGCTGGGATTACAGGTGTGAGCCACTGTACCAGGCTCTAACAGGTCTTTAGCCAAGAGCCTCAGAATGTCAACTCCAATGCCCAGTGTCCCTAAGGATTATATGTGTTTAAGGAATTTATCTGCTTTTTTAGTTGAAATTAATTTTCTACAAATTAGTCACTTATATACAACCTTCATAATTTTTGTCATGTTACATAAAATTTTACCATTAATTGTTTTTTGAATTAAACACTTTTTTCATTTAACTAAATCCACATAAAAAGAAAATTATATATCACATTATAAATGGAAAATCAGTATTACTTGTCATAGAGTAGTTAAAAACACTAATATATAATGCATATTTGACCTAACTTGATCTGTTTACCACCAGTAGTAAGTGCTATATTTTTGGAAACACTGATTTAAATGGTTTCTACTCCCTTCTCCCATGTCAAATACTAGCTTAACCAAGCTATCAATCAATCAATTCCAAACTAAGGGTCCACTCTCCATAATTCTGGCCCTACCCCTGCCCAAGTCAATAGGCTTATTAACTTTCTGAGGCCCAGGGTATAGTAGGACCAGGCACACCCCTCACTGCTTACTTCCTAAAATTATTGGATCCAAATTTATCTCAAAGGCTTCACATCTTTCTTGTCAATGTCACACTTACTTCCACTCAAGTCAAGGACCATTAATAACCCCAGGGAAAAGACTTCATATGGAAAATCCATTCATTTCATTTTTAGGAGACAAATGTCAGTTTCAGACTTAATTTTCTTTACTTTCATATATTGAGTTCCAAAAAATAAGACCTTTTTCCCCTTGACTAACTCAATTACTTACAGAGACATTTCATTTTTGAAAGGATGTTAAACTTTTTATCATTAATACATACAAAGCTATTGAGAAAATAGTTTTAAGGAATAAAAGATGGTCCTATTCTTCATTAATGTTCACATTGTGCAGAGCTCATTGCCTTTCAAAAATATGGACATTATTTAAGATTATATAATAGCTAAGACTTGGTCTTACGCGTTTAAGTCTCTTTCTTTATGATGCAAAATTGGGTTTAAATAGACTAAAATGTTGATTGTGTTATGGAAAGTATTGACTTATTTTTCTCTTACTCTTGAAAGTTGTGTTAATTACTAAAAGTATTTGAAAAAATTACATATAAGCATTGTCAAACCAACAAACCCCTCTGAATCTTCTCCTTCTGCATAGCAAAGATGACTTTAGGAAAAAGGTAGAAAAATCTGACCTACTTAGTCTGATACAGAAGTTGTCCTTCTAAATTTAAGATATGTCCATTTGGCAGTGTGACATTGACAGGCTTAATCTCTTCACTAACTGCCATTTTTACAACTAAAAAGGATTACAGAGGGCTACACTGTCCATCTGTCATCCTTTCCAGGGAGTAAATTATTTTAGATTTAATTTAAAGGTCCATGGTCATTCTCCCTAAGCTGGTGGCAATGCTACTTTGTATACTTTTGTAAGACACATCTCTGTCCCTATAAGGGTGTATCCATGAGGAGTTACTAAACCCTCTGAGTATCTGACTTACCTGTGCATTATATTCCACCTTTACCCAGTAGGAAATAGAAAAGCTGTCCAGAGGGCAAATGTCTTTCCTAAGATTAGTCGTGTAAACCCTGTTGATATTGTCCTCATTATAATAATTCCTACTTAATGAGTTTTATCTTTTTACTAGATATTGTAAAAACAATGTCTATAATTCTAATAACAATCTAGCACAATAGGTGATTATACTTATTTTTCTGATGGAGTAACTGACACTAAAATATTGAGTATCAAAGCAAACCTGTGCATCAAGTTGAACTCCAATTGGTGTCATGCCTAACATTTTAATTTTGCCCCACAACTTTCCATTTTTCCTGTATGCTTTTCAAGTCTGGAGTCTACTTGATTGCCCACATTACAGTGCTTTTCTGTATTCTGTAATTTTTAGCACTTTTTGGAATACTGGACTTGGCTTGCCCTTCTAAACCATGTTTTTAGGTGTTCTCTTTACAGGATTCTGTGTCCTCATTTGGATTTATGAATCGATGGTGACCTGCCTCAACTCCTTGATCTCCTACAGAACATCTTTGGCAGGCCCATTTCTCTTAATAAAACTTCTAGCTATGGCCCCTTCTACCGCTCTTTGGATCAGGGCAGAGACTATTGGCTAGCAGAAAGGGGGCCATATCCACCCTAAAATGTGTATATTTAGCTAACTCAGTGTTGTTGTTAATTGTTTTTTAGCAGTGACCATATTTTAAATGAAGTGATTTCAAAAGCCAGACACAAAAGGTCACATATTGTATGATTCTATTTCTATGAAATATCCAGAATAGGTAAATCCATAGAAATAGAAAGTAGATTGGTAGTTTCCAGAGTGGTTGCCAGAAGAGGGGATGGGGAGGATCCGCTCAGTGAGTATGGGATTTTATTTTGCAGTGGTGGAAATGTTTTGAAACTAGGTGCTAGTGGTGGTTGCACAACGCTGTGAATGTACTAAATGCTGCTGATTTTTCACTTCAAAATGATTAATTTTATGCTATGTGAATCTCACCTGAATAAGTGAATGAATAAATAGAGTGATTCAGATTTTCTACCTTTTTTGGGAAACCGCTTTCTCATTCTCACTATGTAACCATCAGCTAGGGCTAAGTAGCCACTGCTCCTTTAGATGAGGCGATATACTTTAAAGTACCACCATCACTAGCACTCTGTATTGTTTACTTGGCTCTGAGACTAAGAGTCAGTGCCAAGTTTCAACATGCACACACTGTTGACTTTACTGTGGCAGAGAGCTATTTCTCTGCATGTTCTACCAAAAATGGGAAAATGAAAGAATTGCCGAGAGGTCCATACATTTCAGGAGAGAAGTGGGGAGTCAGGGGAGAAGGAAAGGAACATACTTCCTTTCTGGAAAAGAAAGATACTCTTTTATCTTAATATGCAAATAAGGTATGTCAATGTTCAATCAGTGTCAAAGAGAAGCTTCCCTCCTTTATATACCTCCATGGGCATTTGTAGAGGTTGATTCCTAACTTGCAGTGATGTTTTAGTAACCAAATCTAACAGCAGTGGATTGGGGAAGGCAGAGCAGGAGAGAAAGGGAATCAAGTGAAATAGAGAACTATAGTGAGAAACAACAAAAACATAAAATGAATAGTATCTATTCTCCCTTAACACCTCTGATACTCTGAATGGTGTCAAGAAGACAATGACTGGTTCCCTCCTCTTAAAAATCGTGGAATAATGTCTGAAATCAATGGAAAATACTCAGTATGGATGATTTTACTCCTCTAATGGTTTCTTCACTTGAAAACCTGTGTAGTAAAGAATTTAACCTTGCCCGAAAGGAAATCTGACCTTTGACCTCGGCTTCTGGGAAGTAATCTCTAATATCAGGCCTGATAGGAAATTCTTTTGCCTGGAATTTCACCCAGCAGATAGTCTAATAGCCTGATGTAGAGTGGGGGCTGGCCACACCAGAAAACCTAGCAATGTGTATATTCAGAGTAGGGGTCTTGTGTCATGATATGTAACACAATCTGGAAGCTGAGATCAATCACATGGGCAATGAATCTATCAATCGTGCCTACGTAACAGGACTCCGATCAAAACTGAATAGTGAGACATGGGTGAATTTCCCTGGTTGGCAATGCTTCACATTTATGTCACACATCAATGCTGGGAAAGTAATGCCTCCTGAATCCATGGGGAGATGACAATTGAGACCCTATGTTTGGTACTTCCTTGGACTTTGTCCTATAAGTTTTGTCCCTTGGGTGACTTTAAACTACATATTTTCCTAGTAATAAACCATAACCATGAGTATAATAGCTTTCAGTGAGTTCTTCCAGAGAATTATTGAAACTGAGAGTGGTTTTGGTATCCTTACAGAGTTGGTGTCAAAAGTGAGGGAAGTCTTGTGTGTACTGTGTACCCTCTAATTTTGCGGTTGGCTATGCTTTCAGAGCCCTACTCCTGACTTTTTAAAAAACACACATAAGAATGTACATATACACATGCATATCATATCTTGATTACTTCATGGGAATCACATTGGTGGAGAAAGGGACAAATGTCACCTACGTTACCCACTTCCATATTGTTTTACATTTTTTAAGTATGCATTACTTTTGTAATAAAAACATTTAAAAATTCCAAGTCTCATCTTTTTAAGCATTACCTTTTTATAAAGTAAAAAATACTGTGGCAGAATAAGATGGTTTATAAAGATAACAGATATAGTGAATCTGAAAACCAATCACAGAAGGGCATAATTAAGGTGAAATTATGCACTATACATTATAATTTATTATAATCCTTGGCAATGTTTTTAAAAAGTACATTGAATTGGGTATATAATGTGCCTGATTTTGAATAGCAATTAGGTTATTTAAACTGTAATTAGAATTTTTAAAGAAATCATCATAATTTATCTAAATATGCATGCTGAGTCATAATGTTACTTTATGGAAATCACATCTGAGAACTATTTAAATAAAGCAGTGGAAAGTTTTGAAAATTTATTTCTAGTCATATATTGGACAAAATAGAGGTTTTTAGTTTGAAAAAACTCCTCTAAATGCCAATTTTGGAGCTAAAATCAAATAAGTATTTGAAAATAGTACTGGAAGATAGATTTTTAAAAGCATGAGAAATACATAAAATAAAAGAAATTAAAGTGGCATTGGTTGATTTCTCCCGCTCCTGTTCCATCACTGTCTTAGGAGCTGGGGTAAGGTGGGGACCCATACTTAGACCAAAAGTGTAACTAATGGTTTCATGATGTCAAAGACAAAACTGTGTCAGAGACAAAATTAGCAGCAATTGTTTGTTCATAAACTAGGCAAGGGAATCCATCTGTTATCACTTTGCAGCAGGAATTCTAAGGTGGTAGAAAGGAAAGTAAGTTTTATAGGGTAAAAAGAGGAAATACAAAGAATCTCTGATTGGGAAACATTTTATTAAGGTGAGACTTTTGGAAACAGAAGCAACTTTCTCTTTGGTCTTCAGGCACATTTGGCATTCCCTGGTTAGCTTCAAGGGAGCAAGTAAGTGGTTTGGGGCCACTTCAAAAGTGAAAGGAATGTTCAGCAGTAGGGGTGGGGGTTTTCTGTAGCAGATCTTTTCCTGGCATGAATGGTGGTCAATGGGATGCTTTTTGAGGTCAAAGTATTATATGATCCTTATGGGGTAGGGGCAGGGATGGCTACCATGGCAGGCAGTTTCTCAATGAACACATGGTTGGACATCTATCAACTAACATTCTAGGATGAGTCACTGGCCCTTTCCTCCCCTTCTCCCTTTCTCCCTTTTCTCCTCCCGTTCCCTCCCCTAGATCCCTGCTACATAGAGCACTTTGGTCTTCCATCTGATCCTTAAACTCATGGTATCTGTTCCTGTCTTGGAGCCTCTTGTTTCATTCTTTGCCTGGAATGTTCTTCTCCTAAATCTTCACATGGCTGCATCTTCCTGTTATGCCTTAGAGAGTCCTTGCCTACCTACCCTATTTAAACCAACTATTTGAGGGAAGGGGAGAGGGAGGAAAAAAAAGTATCTTTAAATTTGCATATGTATGTACAGAAATACTCTAGAAATATGCCTGAGATCCAACAATAGTGTGGTTACTTCTGGGAAGGAGCAGTGGGAACAAACTGAGAATAGACACGGAGGTTAGCACAAGAGGAGGGGTTTTGCCATATAGCTTTTTAGACATTCTGATTTTCGAACCATGTGAATAAATTACCTATTCAAAATACTTTAAAAACTGAAAATTCATTAAAATAAATCACAGCCACTTAGCCATTGACCATAATTATACCTTACGATATGTACGCCTGCATGCATGTATGTTTTTTTTTTGTCTGAAAAGAACTTATTCTACCTCCACAAAGAGTTAATAATTTGAGTATAGAAGACTAAGTTGAAAATAATTTTAGCACAGAATTTTGAATACAGTTTTTCTTTATTCTTTTCTAGCATCCAATGTTCCTTTTGAGAAATTGGATGATTTTGTTGTTGTTGTTGTTTTGTAGGTGATCTTTTTCTCCCCTCCCTATTATGGAAGCTTTAAGAACAATCTCTTTATCTCTAGCATTTTTTTCCAGTGTTTTTATTGTGGTCAAATATACATAACACAAAAGTTATCATCTTCACTATTTTTAAGTGTCCGGCTTAGTGGTATTAAGTGCATTGATATTATTGTTCAACTGTCACCACCATCCATCTCCAGAACTCTTCGTCTTGCAAAACTGAAGTTTCATATCCATTAAACAACTCTTTTGTTCTCCCAAGCCCCTGGCAACCACTATTCTGTTTCTGTCTCTATAAATTTGACTACTCTATGTACCTCAGGTAAGTGAAACTGTACATTTTTTTATGCCTATGTTTTCATAGCACTGTTCAACATTTCCTTATGTATTCGTTTATTTTTGTCTCCTCCATTGTGTTTTAAGTTCCATGGGAGCGAAGACATTACTTTCCCTCTCATATCTGTATCCTCAATACTGAGAGTAACGCCTGGAATAGGAGGAGGTGAGTTAATGAATGTTAACTGGTAACCAACATGGCAGTTCCTCCTGCAGGAGGAGTTTCCTCCTCCACCTTCCCAGAAGAGGTGTGAGCCCGACAGACATTAACATGTCAACAACTGCCTGGAATATGGGGCAGGTTTAGGGTTTTGTCTCTATTGCTTGAATTTCTCACTTGTGTCCATGTAGGATTTAGAATACAGTAACCAAATATGTTTACACTTATTTGGGTCAAACTAATGGAAAAATACTTAAGATGAGAAACAGTTAAGTGAAGTTTCTTAGTTGAACTTTTTTTTTTTCTTCTATCTTGTCTTGAAATAGAAGAGTAGAAAAAAAAAAGAACTGGTCTTTTTTTATTTTTTCCTATCTTGTCTTGAAATGGAAGAATATTCCACAGTCATCAAATAAATACCAGCATATTCTCAGCTTGGTAGAACCTTTACTATGATTTTGATGGAATGCTAATCTTCCATTCTTTCTGGGATATGTTTAAGCTAGATAGGGGATGAGCAGCATTTTCTTATTTTAGGTCTTGTGAGCCAAATATGGCTCAACAGAAATATCTGTTGTAACTATTCATCTTGCTGTTGTCATACCAAAGCATACATAGACAATAGACAATATGTAAAGGAATAAGCATGGCTGTGTTCCAATAATAACTTACTTAGGGATACTGAATTGTGCATTTCATGTAATTTTAAGTGTCATGAAATATTTTTCTTCTTCTGATTTTTTTTCTAACAATTTAATAAAGACCACTTAGCCTGAAGGCAGTGGGCCAGATTTGGCCCATGGGCAGGAGTTTGCCCAATCTGGGAGTAGACTGTTAACACCTTAAAGGAAAAAGTGCCTGGGAAATGTAACACAATTCCCAGATAGTATAGAGCACACAGAGACAATACATAGGAGCTTACCTTTCATTTAATGTAGATATTTGTGAAACCAATAAGAAGAAAATAACTTTGTTACATTATAGATGATGTTTTAAAAGGGATATCAACAACTTAAGCCATTTGACTTATAGCATTCACTAAATGGTACAGAAAGAAGAAAATGCAAATATAGAGGAAAGAATTAACTCTGACTTGAGATTTACTTCTGAAAGCTTACTATAATAAACATTTTGTATACGAACACACTGGTAAACTAAGCATGCCACCACTGGATATTAACTTTACCTTCACTCCTAAAATAAATTATTCTAGGACTAAAGTTGACACCAGCTGAAAATCCTACTTTTAGCAAAGTAGAATAAACTATTGCCTTCTTACCAGAAAGCAAAAATACATCACATTGGTTGCACAAAAAGTTTATGCACATATATAAATTATTCTACTGAGTCTTATTATTTCCTCAATGTTTCTTAGCTTTAATCACTCAGTTTAAATATTAAACTTCAGCATTCAATAAAAGTTTGTGTGTACATGCAACCAGAGTTTAAAGATAAGAGAGCTGAGGCACAACATAGTGAAGAAACTTGCCTAAAGTCACACATCTACCACATGCAGAGCATGACTGAGACCCAGGTGGTATGATCTTAGAACCCACTCTTTTAACCACTGTGCTATTTTTAGCTCATTACACCTTCTAATTTTTATGCTAATAATATTCTTTCTCCCCCAGGAAAACTGTTCTTTTTATAAAGAAGGAGTGAGAGTTTAAACAAATCCACTGAATAAATAAACTACAATACATAAACATTCAAGTCTTAAGTATAGGCTATCATAGTATCATCAGCTTTGCAAAGTGAGTCCTACCCAAGACCTACCTAGAAAAACCACCTATATTCTACATATACCCCAAGATAGCCTTTTGTAATGAGTCTTAGCTACACACACACACATATACTGACACACATAAACACATAATCAATTTTTTATAGATATGTTCACTTTGCCAGGTTTCACTACATATGCAAAGCCTAGTTAAATAATTGTTTTGTTTAATTTTTGACAGTGTTATATACTGTGGCATTCGGAGCAATGAAACTATGAAAAGGCAATATCAGAAACCTCACCTACTGATGTTTATTTTAGAAGTCCAATCAGTGCTTCTATAATATCTCTTGGACATAAATGTCTCTATCCCATATAAAACACTAAGCAACAGTACACATTATTTTAAAATACTAATTCTAGAATATACTGCAGATGCCACTGACTCTTTTGGAGGCTGAATGCTAGTCAAATGTCTACTCCAAAATGTAACTATAGCAGCTGGCAGGCAAGACCCTTTGGCGGTTTAGGTGATTTTCTTTTCCTCAAAATTACCTGGGAAACTATATTATAAAGAAATGAGACAATAAAATGATAACGGTTTCATCTTTCTCAGTAGTTAATATATTTTTAATCTCATAATTTATCACTGCCATTGATAAATTTTAAAGAAAGTTGATACAGGTATAGATCGACCTTCAGTAATAAGGATAAAATTAGACAGAAATGATATTTTTGATGAGACAGTTAATGAGTGTTCTTTTTTCTCATTTTTAAAACTACTTTTCTTTTTACTTCTTCAGTAACTTTTATCCCAAAGAAAAAATAAAAATCTTAAACTTATACTGTCTCATATAATTTATGAATTATTTTTACATATATGAGCCAATTGTATCTACACAACCCTGATAGGTGTTCTCACTCCTTTTTATGGAAGAGGAAATGGAGAAAGACTAGACGAGTTTGCTAGGACAATTTTCTTCCTATTCTCTCATTTTTTAAAAAATGAATCATTTTTATTACTGAAAGCCTTTTATAAAGACATCGTAGATAAATGAGACTGTTAGGACTTATCCATAATTCTTTCTGGTAAGTAGCTAAAGGTACTTAACTCTGGGAAGGATAGGAGAAAGAAACAGAGCCATTTTTAAAATTTGTTAACACTATTTGCCACCATTTATTGAGTATTTACTCTGTGGTAGACTTTATAATAAACATTTAATATAGATTAGCATATTTAAAAATCACATGCTGAGTGGTGGGATAAGTAAACTCAGATATAGAAATGGAGGCTTTAACCAAGGTCATGCATCTAGTAAGTTAATGGCGAAATAGGGCTCAAGCCAGGCCATCCGACCCTAAAACCTGAACTTTTTCTATGTTCTCTGCTAATTCTTTAGAACAGTAATATGACATTCTGTATTTTTCTTTCTTTCTTCCTTTTTTTTTTTTTTTTTTCCAAACGGAGTCTCCCTCTGTCACCCAGGCTGGAGTGCAGCGGCGCGATCTTGGCTCACTGCAACCTCTGCCTCCCGGGTTCACGCCATTCTCCTGCCTCAGCCTCCCGAGTAGCTGGGACTACAGGCGCCCGACACCACGCCCGGCTAATTTTTTGTACTTTTAGTAGAGATGGGGTTTCACCGTGTTAGCCAGGACGGTCTCGATCTCCTGACCTCGTGATCCGCCCTCCTCGGCCTCCCAGAGTACTGGGATTACAGGCGTAAGCCACCGTGCCCGGCCGACATTCTGTATTTTTCTTAGCTCCATTGTATTGTGGCTTTTATATAAGATACAGGAAACTTAGCTTAGGCAACTTGATTTTCCAGTTAATTAAAGGTTAAATAACTTAAAAAATCTAGAACTAGTTGTAGGCTATGGCTTGGTTTGTTTATTTAATTTTTGATAATGTGGCATTGAGAACAATGAGGCTATGAAAAGATAAATATCAGAAGCCTCTCCTACTGCTGTTTATTTTAGGTTATAGGATATGGCGACTGGGAGAAATACAGGATAGATACAATTAGGCAGCTATAAGAGATAACATTGAAAGAATGAATGGGTTCCAATCAATAAAATCTTAGTGAACTTTTTTTTAATGAGCCAGGCTTAAGATGGGACCAGTTTACTTCAATAATGTCTTACACATTACGGGACCATGTGCTCTCTTAAGACTGATCACAATGGCCCCAGACATTAAGAAGCATGACTGCTGGGCAAGAGTTCCAACAATAGGAACAGATTTGGGCCAATTTTAACCCACCTGGCATATGGCAGAGCTGGGCTTCAAGCATAACTCTTTTGCTCATATGCTTGAAAGTAGTACATTAATGCAACTAGGACCAACTCTAGGCGAATGACAGGGTGCATATTTACAGATTAGCATCCTCACCTCTGGACAGCCCCATGTGCCTGGTCACCAAGCACTCAGGAACCTCAAATCTCCCAGAAATAAGAGGGATTTACTCTTCCACCAGTTTCAGTCCTGCTCATTTGAGCATGACAGTGCACCCCAACCACAGTCTCCTGTTGAGGCTCTTTCTTTTCATGTAGTTCAGCAATTTTTAACAGTACTCATTGCTGATTCTTAACCACAGTAAGTTTGAAGAACTGACACCTAGTATCCCCTACCTATCAGTATTTTAATGTAAAAGGAGAATTAATGATGTTTTGATTAGCAATCCCTCCCCCTGCCCCCACTACAAAAAAAAGGAATTCTGAATGGTGAAATTTCAGCAGTGGTATAAGGCTTAGGGTGATTTAGAGGAGGGAGAAATTATTTTTAGGAGAAAATTCATTTTTAGATAAGAATCCAGCAGAACTTTATTTGAGTTCAGGGTGTGAAAGTTTTTAGACTGTCTGATTATATACAGTGATTTAACTTTACTAATTTCTAGGGGTTTTTTGCTTATCAAATGGGGCTAATGCTGAAATCTACCTCAGGGGGTTGCTATGGAATTATGTGAGCTCAAGGGTAGAAAGCATAGTGTTTGTTGTATAAGAATTGCTCTATAAGCACTAGTTGTTATTTTTGATCTTGGATGGTCAAGACTTGACTAAGGAGCTTGTATTGGGGCTGGTTCAAATATATAACGGACCATAAACAGATGGGTACATTGTAATGGTTAGTGAGCAAATGGTGCCTAACATTAATCTGCAGGTCCGCCTCCTCACATCTGCCTACACATGATTGCTCACAAGCTTTACTATGTTCTCATATGTAGCACTGTGTTCCTTATGGACAACCTGCCATGTAACAATGATGAATAACTGTTCAGTATTTTTCTTACATGTGTATTTTGAAAATGCAGTTGAACATGAGTTATCACTAATTTTTGTCATCTGTTAGAATATGATTTGAGACAAGCCATTCTAGTCAATAAATATACTAAATATTCTCTCTTCCAGAGATTATCAGGATTTAGTATGCATAACTTGAGAGGTTCTGGTTAAGAGTGCAGTTTTGTGGATAATTCCCACAGAGATTCAGATGCAGAACATAAAGGATGTAGCTCAGATAGCTGTATTTTTAATAAGCACTTCCAGCTGACCTGGTAACAGGTGGTTAGAGATACCCATTTTGAGGAATTTTTTTTTTATTAATATTATTTTTTGGTCTGGAGAGAAACAATTGTTTATCTAGTCTGGGCAAAATTTGGACATGGATATTTACCCAGCCTTCTTTGGCTTTCAATATCCTCAATTCGTGAATGCCCAAGGCAGATGTGCACGTGAAAGGCAAACCTACCCACCTACTCCAGGGACTATCCCTAAACTTTGAAATACTTCAACACTCAAATGTGAATATCAACTGAGACATTTTTTCTCCCTATTCCCAAATTTAAAGTCCTCATATGGTCAGGCACGGTGGCTCACGCCTGTAATCACAGCACTTTGGGAGGGGCTGAGGTGGGTGGATCACAGGGTCAGGAGATCGAGAGCATCCTGGCCAACATGGTGAAACCCCATCCCTACTAAAAATACAAAAAATTAGCTGGGTGTAGTAGCACGTGCCTGTAATCTCAGCTACTCGGGAAGCTGAGGCACAAGAATTGCTTGAACCTGGGAGGTGGAGGTTGTTGTGAGCCAAGATCGTGCCACTGCACTCCAGCCTGGCAATAGAGTGAGACTCCTTCTCAAAAAGAAAAAAAAATTGTCATAAATACATAATTTTAAATCACTCTTTCTTGAGTGAGACACTGCAATTGTTATTTTCCACAATTTTGTAGGAAAAGTTAGACTTCATTTTCTTTTCTTTCCTTGTTTCTTTTTCTTTCCCCCCTTCCTTTCTAGGCCTTTGTAATTCTCATGTCTGAGTTAAGATAAAATGACAGATGGGTCATGTATGCTATAAGGTATAATCAGTAGATGCTAATTATGAGTTTTAAAATTTTTAGATAAAAGCACCTCATGTATACTTCCAGCCCTCAAAAATACAGCCATAGGCAAGGGTGCAGCTTGAAGCTAATGTAGAGGATGTGGAGATTACCTTCTCTGACTGTGATTAATCATCCGGATTTTGCATTTCAGATTATATTTCTTTTTTTCTAACAAGTACAATAACAAAGTATCTTCCTGCCCCTTCATCCAAAATCTTGATGCCATGACTCTTCTCTAGGCCTCCCTAGAGTGTTTTAAAGGTACCAATGAGGCCTTGAGTTCAGGACTACATTGTGGATTAGACCATGAGTTAAAAGCACATGAGATGCTTTTAACACATAGTTCAATTACTATGTGACTTAGAACAAGTCACTTCACTTTTTTGAGCTCTGATTTCACCTTTATAATACATAGGTTGTTATAAGAATTGATATTTGAATAAAGATATTTAAAACACATGCAAAATATTTAGCATGCTATAGATAATTAAGGATTGCCAGTTCCTATTACCTACCACTGTATTTGCTGAACCCAGCTGATAAGCCAGCACAACTTCTATGAAAGGATCTAGTCTTTCAAATAGCAAATGATATTTGAAAACATAATGGATCCAGTATTTGTTATTATAGGCCTAATACTGACTCAGTCTTTGAAGTACTTAGTCTTACGGGAAAAGTAAATAAAGGAGAAGAAGAGTGTTTAGAAAGCTGGCAGAACATTTTCAGCTGGGCTAGCCTAGTAGCAAAAGCCAGCATTAGAGAGAATTCTTAAAGAAATGGCTTATCATTAGCTGGGAGGGCAATTAATCATTTCAAACATCCTCATATTATTGAGCTATCCTTATTTTAGGGACTTCCTCGATACCACGTACTCTTTCTCTGGTTGGGTAGACATGCAATTACTTTGAAAATTTAGCCAAAGACCATACACCCTCCTTTTACTGACAAGTCAAAGCATTGTTACCCAGAGGAAATACGGGTTACTGAATTTATCCAGGTAACTCTGAAGAATCCTTTGTTACTTTGTGTGTATTTGATCTATATAGCTGACACATCTGGGATAGAGTGCCAGCTTTCTAATAACTCCATTTTTAATAATGTTTGGGGCCCAAAGAACTAATTATTTAGTCATGAATCAATTGTATCTTTCTTACTTGTATACTTTGCAATTCCAAAGGATGGGAGTGCAAATAAAACCTACTGAACAAATTATTGTCTCTGTTAGGCATAGATGCTGATCTCAAACATTTTTGTATTAATCTACTTAAAAACAGTAACACAACTTGATTGAGTAAGTATTTATGGAAGGTCAGGCACAGTGTGGGCACAGTGGCTCACGCTTGTAATCCCAGCATTTCGGGAGGCTAAGGCCGTGGATTTCTTAAGCCCAGGAGTTCCAGAACAGCCTGGGCACCATGACAAAACCCTGTCTCTATGAAAAATATTACAAAAATTAGCCGGGCATAGTGGCGTGCACCTGTAGTCCCAGCTATTTGTGAAGCTGAGGTGGAATAATCGCCTGATGTCTGGAGGTGGGATTAATATCATCCTCTTTTCCCCTGTATATTAGGAACAATATCACAGAGGGGGTAGACAACCCTGATATATTAGGAGTAATATCATTCTCTACCTACCAGAATATTAGAAACAATATCACAGGGGGTGTGTGCACCTCCTGCGAATTTGGGAGTAATATCATCCTTTACCCCACCTGGATATCAGAAACAATATCACAGGGGGAATGTACATCCCTGCGATATTGGGAGTAATATCACTCCCCCCCCCCCCGCAGATATTAGGAACAATATCACAGGGAAAGTGTACACCCCTTGTGATATTGGAATCAATATTATCCTCTCTCCAGTTGGATATTAGAAACAATATCACAGCGGGGGCATACACCCCCTGCGATATTGGGAATAATATTATTCCCTGGATATTAAAAACAATATTAAAAGCCCTGGATATTAAAAACAATATTACAGTGTGGGTGTACACCCCCTTCTATATTGGGAGTAATATCATTCTCTCCTCTTGTGGATGTTAGAAACAATATCATGCAGGACGTGTACACCCCTAAGACATTTGAAGTAATATCATCCATTCCCCACCTGAATTTTAGAAACAATAACACGGTGGGGGGGAGGTGTACACCCCCTGAGATATTGGGAATAATATCATCCCCTTCCCCTTGGATATTAGGAACAATATCACAGGTGGGGTGTACAGTCCCTACGATATTGGGAGGAATGTCATCCTGACCCGCCTGGATATTAGGAACAATATCACACGGGGGATGTCCACCCCCTGTGGACAATATCACAGGAAGGTGTACACCCTGTGCAGTATTGGGAGTAATATTCTCTCCCCCCGTGAATGTTAGTAACAATATGACAGAGTGTGTGTACACTCCTTGCGATATTGGGAGTAAATCATCCTCTTCCTCCTTGGATATTTGGATAAAATCACAGGGGGATGTACACCTGCTGTGATATCACCGGGAGTTGTACACCGCCGGTGATATTGGGTGTGATATTACTCTCTTTACCCCTGCATACTAGGAACAATATCACGGGTTGAGAGTACAGCCCATGCGATATTGGGAGTAATATTCTCTCCCCCCCCCACCCCGTTAATATTAGGAACAATATCACAGCATAGATATAAACTTTCTGCGATATTCGGAGTAATATCATCCTCTCCCCCCTGGAGATTAGAAACAATGTTACTGTGAGGGTGTACACATCCTGTGAAATTGGGCGTAATGTCATCTTCTCCCACCTGGATATTACGAACAATATCACAGGGGAGGTGTACACCCCATGCGATAAAGGGAGTAATATCATTTTCTTTCCCCCAGGATATTAGGAACAATATCAAAGGGGGGGTGTACACTCCCTGATTTATTGGAAGCAATATCCTCTTTTTCTCCCTTGGATATTAGGAATAATATCACAGAAAAGGTGTCTACCCAGTGCGATATTGGGAGTAATATTATTTTCTCTCAAGCTGGGTATTAAGAACAATATAACAGGAGAGGTGTACACCCCCTGTGATATTTTGAGTAATATCATTTTCTCCCCACCTGGATATTAGAAACAATATCACAGGGGTTGTACAGCCCCTGTGATATTGAGAGTAATATCCTCTCAACCTTTAAATATTAAGAAAAATATTACAGAAGGGTGTACACCCCCTACGATACTGGGAGTAATGTCACCCTCTCCTTCACTGGAAATTAAGAACAATATCGTTTAAGGGGTGTACACCCCCTGAAATTTTGGGAGTCATATCATCCTCTCTTTTTCTAAATATTAAAAACAATATTACAGGGGCGTGTACATCCTCTGCGACATTGGGAGTAATAACATCATTTTCCGCCCTGGACGTTAGAAACCATATCACAGGGGTGGCGTAAACCCTCTGCGATATGGGGAGTCATATCATCCTCTCACCTTTCAATATTAAAAATGATATAACGGGGGGGTGTACATCCCCTGCAGTATTGGGAGTAATATCATCCTCTATCCCCCTGGATATTTGGAACAATATCACGGAGGGGTGTACACCCCATGAAATATTGAGAGTAATATCATCCTCTTTTCCCTGAATGTTAGGAAAAACATCACAGAGGGGGTGTACACCTCCTGTGATATTGGGAGTAATATCATCCTCTCCCTCACTGGATATTAGGGACAATATCACAGGACGGGTGTACAACTCCTGCAATATTGAGAGTAATGTCATCCTCTTTTCCCCTAAATATTAGGAACAATATCACAAAGGTGGTGTACACAACCTGCGATATGGGAGTAATATCCTCTTCCCATAGATATTAGGAAAAATATCACGGTGGGGGAGGGGTGTACACAGCCTGTGATATTGAATGTAGTATCATCCTCTCCTCTGATGCATATTAGGAACAATACCCTAGGGGAGGTGTACAACCCCTGCAATATTGGGAGTAATATCACCCTCTGCCTCCCTGGATATTAGGAACAATATCACAGAAAAGGTGTACATTCACTGGGATATTGGGAGTAATGTCACCCTCTCACTCCCTGGAAATTAGGAACAATATCACAGGGTGGGTGTACACTGCCTGTGATATAGGGAGTAGCGTCATCCTCTCCCCCCTTGGATATTAGGAAAAATATCACGGAGGGTGCACAACCCCTGTGATATTGAAAGTAATATCATCCTTTTTTCCCCTGGATATTAGAAAAAACATCACTGGGGGGTATACACCCACTGTGATATTGGGAGTAATATCATCCTCTCCCCCACTGGATATTAGGAACTGTACCACAGGGTGGGTGTACATCCCCTGCGATATTGGGAGTAATATCAACCTGTCCCTTCCAGGATGTTAGAAACAATATCACAGGAGAGATATACAGCCCCTGTGATACTAAGAGTAATATCATCCTCTCCCTCCATGGAGATTAGGAACAATATCACTGTGGGGGTGTACACCCCCTGCGAAATTGGGTGTAATATCATCCTCTCCCCACCTGGATATTAGGAACAATATCACAGGGGTGATGTACACCCTATGCGAATTTTGGAGTAACATCATTTTCTTTCCCCCAGGATATTAGGAACAATATCAAAGGGGGTGTGTACACTCCCTGATATATTCAGAGTAATATTATATTTTCTCCCCTCTGAATATTAGAAACAGTATCACAACGGGGGTGTCTACCCCCTGTGATATTGGGAGTAATATCATTTTTCCACCTGGATATTAGGAACAATATCACAGGAGGGGTCTACACGCCCTGTTATATTTTGAGTAATATCATCCTCTCTCCACCTGGATATTAGGTACTATATCACAAGGTTGTACACCCCTGGGATCTTGGGAGTAATATTTTTCTCTTTCCCCCTAAATATTAGGAACAATATCACAGGGGGAGTGTACACCTTCTGGGATATTGACAGTAATATCATCATTTTTCCCCTGGAAATTAGGAACAATATCACAAGGAAGCTGGACACCCACTGTGATACTGAAAGTAATATTATCCTCTCCTCTCATAGATATTAGGAATAACATCACAGAAAGGCTGTACATCAACTGCGATATCGGGAGTAATATCATCCTCTCACCCCCTGGATATTTGGAACAATATCACAAAGGGGTTGTATATCCCCTGCGATATAGGGAGTAATATCATCCACTCCCCACCTGGATATTAGGAACAATGTCACAGAAGGGGTGTACACCACCTGCGATATTGGGAGTAATGTCATCCTCTCCCCTTTGGCTATTAGGAACAATATCACTGGGGAATGTACACCCCCTGCGATATCTTAAGTATTATCATTCTCTCTCCCCCTAGATATTAGGAACAATATTACAAGGGGGGTGTACAACCCTGGCGATATTAGGAGTAATATCATGTTTCCCCCCGGATATTAGGAACAACATCAAAGAAAGAGTGTACACCCTCTGCGATATGGGGTGTAATATCACACACTGTGATATTAGGAGGGTAATATCTCTCCTGAATATTACCAGTAATATTCCAAGGTGTACACACATGGTGTACACACACTGTGATATTAGGAAACTATAATCTCCCCATGATATTTTGAATAATATCCCAGGTTGTACACACATCGTGTACACTCACTGTTATATTAGGAGAGTAATATCTCCCCATAATATTACAAATAATATCCCAGAATGTACACACATGGTGTAAACCCACTGTGATATTAGGAGAGTAATAACTCCCTGAGATATTCCTAATAATGTTCCAGGGTGTACAAACATGGTGAACACCTACTTTGATATTAGGAGAGAAATATCTCCCCAGGATATTACACATAATATCTCAGGATGTACAAACAAAGTGTAAACACACTGTGATATTAGGAGAGTAATATCTCCCCAAAATATTGCAAATAATATCCCAGGGTGTACACATATGGTGCACACCCTCTTTGATATTAGGAGAGTAATATCTCTGCAGGTTATTACGAATAATATCCCAGGTTGTAAACAAATGTTGTACACCCACTGTGGTATTAGGAAAGTAGTATCTCCCCAGGATATTTCGAACAATATCCAGGTTGTACGCACATAGTGTACACCCAATGTAATATTAGAGGAATAATATCTACCCTGGATATTACGAATGATATCCCAGTGTGTACACACATGGTGTACACTTACTGTGATATTGAGAGACTAATATCTCCCCAGGATATTATGAATGATATCCTAGGGTGTACCCATATGGTGTACACCCACTGTGATATAAGGAGAAATATCTCCCCAGGATATCATGAACAATATTCCAGGGTGTACACCCACTGAGGTATTAGGACTAATATCTCCCCAGGATATTACGAATAATATATTTGGGTACACACCCACTGTGATATTGGAGTAATATCTCCCCAGGTTATTACGAATACTATCCCAGAATTTACACCCACTGTGATATTAGAAGTAATATCTCCCTAAGATATTACAAATAATATCCCAGGGTGTACATTCACCATGATATCAGTAGTAATATCTCTGCAAGATATTACAAATAATATCCCAAGGTGTAAACCCACTGTAATATTAAGAGTAATGTCTCCCCAGAATATTATGAAAAATAATCCAGGGTTGACACCCACTATTCTATTAGGAGTAATATCTGCCTAAGATACTACGAATAATATTTCAGGGTGTACACACAGTGTGTACACCCACTGTGATATTAGGAGTAACATCCCACTGGGATATTATGAATAATATGACAGGTGGTGTACACACATGGTGTACACCCCCTGTGGCATTAGGAGAAACATCTTCCTAGCATATTATGAATAATATCACAGGGTGTACAACCCCTGGGACATTAGGAGTAACATCCCTTTAGGATATTAGGAATAATATCACAGGTGGTGTACACACATGTTGTACACCCCAAGTTACATTAACATTAACATCCCTCTAGTATATTATGAATAATATCACAGGGGTTGCACACACATGGTGTACAAGCCCTGTGACATTAGGAGTAACATTGCCCTAAGATATTAGGAATGATATTACCCCCTGTGGTGTACACACATGGTATACACCCCCTGTTTCATAGGAGTAACATCTACCAAAATATTAGGAACAATATCCCCCAGCGTATTACAAATAATATCACAAAGGTTGTACACACAAGGTATAAAACCCCTGTGACATTAAAAGTAAAACCCCCACAGGTTATTGCAAATTATATCACAGGGGGTGTACACACATTGTATACACCCCAAGGCATGTACACCCCAAGTTACATTAGGAGTAACATCCCCCTAGGATATTACGAATAATATCACAGGTTGTGGACACACATGGTGTACATCCCTGTGACATTAGGTGTAACATCTCCTTAGGACATTACAAATAATATCACAGAAGGTGTACACTCATGGAGCACAGTTTCTGTGACATTAAAGGTAAAATCCCACTAGGATATTACAAATAATACCACAGGGGGTGTACACACATGGTGTACACCCCATGTGACATCAAGAGTAACATCCCCCTAGGATGTTAGGAATAATATCACAGAGTGGACATTCCCTGTGACATTAGTAGTAACATCCCCCTAGGATATTACGAACAATACCACAGGGTGTACAGCCCCTATGACATTACGTGTAACATTCCCCTAGGATATTATGAATAATATCACAGTGTGAACACCCCCTGTGACATTAGGAGTAACATCCCCTAAAAATATTATGAATAATATCTCAGGGTGTACACCCTCTGTGACATTTGGAGTAACATCCCCCTAAGGTATTATGAATGATATCACTGTGTGTACACCCCCTGTCACATGAGGAGTAACATCTTTATAGGATATTACAAATAATTTCACAAGGTGTATACCCCCGTGACATTAGGAGTTACATCCGCTAGGATATTATGAATAATATCACGGGAGTACACCCCCTGTGACATTAGGAGTAACATCCCAGTAGGATACTCTGAATAATATAACAGGGTGTACACTCCTTGTGACATTAGGAGTAACATTCCCCTAGGATATTATGAGTAATACCACAGGGTGTACACCCTCTGTGACTTTAGGGGTAACGTCTGTCTAGGACATCACAAATAATATCACAGAGTGTACACCCCTTGTGACATTAGCAGTAACATCCCCTTAGGATATTACAAATAATATCAGGGTGCACACATTAGAAGTAACATCCCCTTAGTATATTACAAATAATATCACAGGGTGTACACCCCCTGTAACATTAGGAGTAACATCCTCCTAGGATATTACCAAAAATACCACAGGATGTACATCCACTGTGACAATAGGAGTTACATCACCCCTAGGATATTACAAATAATATCACAGTGTGTACACCTACTGTGATATTAGGAGTAATATCTTCCTAGAATATTATAAATAATATCACAAGGTGTACACCCACTGTGTGATATTAGGAGTAATATCTCCCTTGGATATTACAAATAATATCACAGGCTGTACACGAATGGAGTAAAACCACTGTGATATTAGAAGTAATATCTCCCTAAAACATTATGAAAAATATCACAGGGTGTACATCCACTGTGATATTAGAAGTAATAACTACCTAAAATATTACAAATATCACAGTGGGTGTACACCATGTGCACATCCACTTTGAAGTAATATCTCCTTAGAATTTATGAATAATATCACAGAGTATACACCCCCTGTGACGTTAAAAGTAACAAAACAATATCACAGGGGCTGTACACCCCCTGCGATATTGGGAGTAATATCAACCTCTCTCAAAACAAAAAACAAACAAGCAAAAAAACTCAAACCAAAATATTTATGGTAGGCTACTGTGTGCAATGCAGAATGTTGAACATAGCTATTAAGTTTCAGTGGTAGCAGGTGTGCATTTCAGATTACAAATTCAGGTGTACATGAAGGGAAGTGAATTTTCTTTACTAGAAAAAGTTAGCAGGTGGATCAAATTTTGAGGGTTTTCTTTCTCCGCCTCTCCCCCGCTTTTTTGAGACAGGACCTCATCTGTTACCCAGGCTGAAGTGCAGTGGCACAATCACAGCTCACTGCAGCCTCGACCTCTTGGGCCCAAATGATCCTTCCACCTCAGCCTCTGGAGTAGCTGGGACCACAGATGCACACCACCACACTTCGTGATTTTTTTTTTTTCACTTTTTTTGTGGTAGAGATGGGGTTTCCCTCTGTTGCTCAGGCTGGTCTCGAACTCCTGGTCTCAAGTGACCCACCGATCTTGGCCTCCCAAAGTGTTGGGATTATAGGCATGAGCCACTGTGCCCGGCCCCCTTTTCCCCATCTTGTCCTGTTTTTTGTCCCCCTTTGTCATCCAGAACAGCAGATAGCTTATTGTGCTTCATCCCTTCTGGGGAAAATTATGGCATTTTCCAAAGGAGTCACAACAAACCTTCCCGCCTTTGGTTTCTAAAATCCAAGCCAAGTTTCAGAAATCCAAACATTTAGAGGAGTCTGGCAGATAAAATAACAGGAGTGGTGAGCTGAAGGGGTCTGTGGTGAGTTGGAGGGCGGTGGTCTGGGTAAAAAAGGTGTCTCTTACCCTGCTCCAGCTTTTGTTCTATGAGATAGGAGCCAGGGAATTCAAGCTTCCATTTTTTTTTTTAAAGTAAATCTGGAAATTCAACTTTTTAATACAAAGAAGCTCTGGTCCCAGTCTACTTAAAGGTAAGGAATTACAGAAAGACACACTGTTCCCCAGACTGAAAAGGGATTTTCCAAGGTTTAGAAAGAAAGATAATTTTGTGGGGTCCAGAGAAATAGAAATCTTTACCCACAGCCTTCTGGCAGCCCTTCCATGGGCTGGAGAGGGGGAAATTGGCTTCATGGTGCTCTAGGGAGGAGGGATCCCAGCCAGTTTTCAGGGAGCTGCCAAAAACTTCAGTGAATCAATAAAATGAGCTCTGATGTAGACTCCCATTTAAGAGAAGAAGAGAAACTGTAAATATAAAGAATAAACTTAAAAAGTTTAATGTGCTTGCATAAGATTATAATATATTGGAGCACCTATGGTGGAGTGGCTAAGCATAAGGTGAGCTCAAATACTGAGTTTATATGATGAATCCAAACTTACCTAAACCCTCAATGCATTCGTTTCTCATCTTTAAGATGGGAATGGTACTTAGTTGTACTAAGATTATCTTATAGTATTATGAGAATTAAAGTAAATAACAGGTTGAACAAGCAGCACTCATGAGATATAATCAGAAAGCATCTTTATTTTTATCTTCCACTGTCCTTTTAAAATTTATTCAGTAGGAAAGTACTTTCCCTGCTGCTGGTTGGAAATACAAGCTGACTGGTGAATTTTCTGCTACATATTGGATATTTAAAAGACTTTCAGATATTCAAGGTTGTAAACACTACCTCAGTTCTGAAAATAGTCTGCTCTCATGTAACAATAAAAACTCCAAATTTGATTTAAAGTGAGAAATTCTTCTCTGTCTCATCTGAATCTTCTTCTAGTGGGAAAGGAGGGAAAGAAAAGTTATCACTTCTTTGGTACTGTTGTAAGATGGCATTGTGATCACCGAGCATGGCGGGTGATAAAAATTCACTATACCCTCGCCAATTTTTTGTTTTGTTTTGTTTTTGAGACGGAGTCTTGCTCTGTCGCCCAGGCTGTGCAGTGGCGCGATCTCGGCTCACTGCAACCTCCGCCTGCCGGGTTCACAGGGGTTGTACACCCCCTGCGATATTGCAAGTAATATCAACCTCTCTCAAAACAAAAAGCAAGCAAGCAAAAAAACCCAAACCAAAATATTTATGGTAGGCTACTGTGTGCAATGCAGAATGTTGAACATAGCTATTAAGTTTCAGTGGTAGCAGGTGTTCATTTCAGATTACAAATTCAAGTGTACATGAAGGGAAGTAACTGGGACTTCAGGTGCCCGCCACCACGCCTGGCTAATTTTTTGTATTTTTAGTGGAGACGGGTTTTCACCACGTTAGCCAGGATGGTCTCGATCTCCTGACCTTGTGGTCCGCCCGCTTCGACCTCCCAAAGTGCTGGGATTACAGGTGTGAGCCATCGCATCCAGCCCCATTTGTTTTTTTTTGTTTGTTTTTTTTTTTTTGCGTGTCCTTCAAAAGCCAGCACTGGGACTCTCCCAGTGATGCAAGCAATGTGTTGTCCTCCAGCCAGCCACTTGCTCCTCCATCCCTGTTTTCCTTTCTTTTTTCTTCACAGTACACAGACTCTACTGCTTGCCGTCCTTTGACTTTCCCACACAGTCCCCTAGGGTAGAGTTTAAAATAGCACCATGTGGCCACATGGTGAATGCTAAATAATTGTCATGACTATTACGATAGTTGGAAGTAACAGGATTGAGAAAATTGCACAAAAAGACATGAATCTAGTTCCAAAATTAGGTATCTTGTACTGTAGGTAATTAAATGATTTTTTAAAATAAAATTTGTAAAGGCAGAAGTTAGACGATTTGGTGCTTGTTATATATACCTATTATAAGTGTTATGCATGAGTTCATCAAGTATGAATGGGGCAACATAGGATATACTAACTAAATATATATATGAGTTTTTACAAAGGGGCATGGAAGCCTTTCTAGAGAAGGCAGCATTTGAATGAAGTCTTTGAGGGTGAGGAGTGTTTTCGCAGTGATGGGCCCAGATGGCAGGAAGTGGGAAGGAATGGGAAAGCAGAGGCAAAGGAAATGTGTCTGGATTTGATGGCCATGAGTGATAGGGTGTTACAACAGGGTTCACTCATGGAGGATGATAAAAGCTGGTATTGCTTGAGAATTTACTGAATACTTCATTTGAGCTACCTGATTTGTTTCTCTCAACTCTGTAAGGCAGGAACTATTATTCCTCTTTTATGCATAAGGAATTGAGCATTAGAAAGGAGAAGGTAAGTTGGCTGAGATCTCCAGCTGGTAAGCACAGGAGCTGTGACTGGACCTCTGGCTGTCTGGCCTGAGCAGCGCCATGCCTAACTACTACATTACATGAGCCTTTAGCTGTTAGGATTATAGAAGGGCATTTACAATATATATTGGATTATAAAGAAGGTTCAGGATGATCTTCTTAAGAAAACTTTTAATTATATATTGAGTTTTAGAAAAAATTAGCTTTTACTATTGTAACAGTTTTTATAATTTCCTGACATTTCATTCTTTCCTTGTTTTCTTCCTATCTCTCTTCCTTCTTATCAGGTATTTATTAATTCAGGCACTGTGTTAGTCCCAGGATATATAATAATGAACCAAAATATAGGTAGTCTCTGTCTTCATAAGAATTACATTCTGGTGGGGGAGATAAATATTCAAATGATTTCTAAGAATAAAATTGCAAGAGTGATTTTTGCCCAAATGAGAGAAATTTGGTATGGGGGGAAATTCAGCCAGACATTGGGTGAAATTCACCCCCGATATTTCACGTAGGTTCTTTTCTATTTTCCCTAAGTGTTGGCCAGTCTGAGAAATAGAGGGACAGAGTACAAAAGAGAGAAATTTTAAAGCTAGGTGTCCAGGCGAGACATCACATGTCAGCAGGTTCTGTGATGCCCCCCAAGCCGCAAAACTGGCAAGTTTTTATTAGTGATTTTCAAAAGGGGAGGGAGTGTACGAATAGGGTGTGGGTCACAGAGATCACATGCTTCGCAAGGTAATAAGATATCACAAGGTAAATGGAGGCAGGGCGAGATCACAGGACTACAGGACCGGGGTGAAATTAAAATTGCTAAAGAAGTTTCGGGCAGGCATTGTCATTGATAACATCTTATCAGGACAGGGTTTGAGAGCAGACAACTGGTCTGACCAAAATGTATTAGGTGGTAATTTCCTCGTCCTAATAAGCCTGGGAGCGCAACAGGAGACTGGGGCTTATTTCATCCCTATAGCTAGCTGCGACCGTAAAAGACAGCCACCCCCAAAGTGGCCATTTTAGAGGCCTACCCTCAGGGATGCATTCTCTTTCTCAGGGATATTCCTTGCTGAGAAAAAGAATTCAGCAATATTTCTCCCATTTGCTTTTGAAAGAAGAGAAATATGGCCCTGTTCCACCTGGCTCACAGGGGGTCAGAGTTTAAGGTTATCTCTCTTGTTCCCTGAACATTGCTGTTATCCTGTTCTTTTTTCAAGGTGCCCAGATTTCATATTGTTCAAACACACATGCTTTACAAACAATTTGTGCAGTTAACGCAATCAACACAGGGTCCTCAGGTGACATACATCCTCCTCAGCTTACGAAGATGATGGCATTAAGAGATTAAAGTAAAAACAGTCATAGGAAATCACAAGGGTATTGATTGGGAAAGTGATAAGTATCCATGAAATCTTCACAATTTATGTTCAGAGATTGCAGTAAAGACAGGCATAAGAAATTATAAAAGTATTAATTTGGGGAACTAATAAATGTCCACGAAATCTTCACAATTTGTGTTCTTCTGCCATGGCTTCAGCTGGTCCCTCCGTTCAGGGTCCCTGACTTCCCGCAACAATTTGGAGCTATTAAAATTTAAGATTGGGGCTTTTACTTAAAAAGGCAAGGGAGAATCATGGATCTAGAGCTGAGTTCTGAAAGATGAATAGGAGTTAACTAGATGCAGTGGGAAGAGAGGAAGGCCTAGGCTGCAGAAGTAGCATATGCAAAGATCCTGCAGTAGGAAGAAAGGGCTGTGAAGAAAGCCACAGTGATTAGAGCTGAGTGCACAGGGGCAAGGCAGAGTACAGACTAGAAAAATAGAGGCCTGATCATGTGGAGACTTGCAGTACATGTTAGAATTTGGCATTTATCCTAAGGGAGGGGGGTTGTGACAGAAACATTTTAAGTAAGAGTGGCACCATAATCAGATTGCATTTTGAAACTACAGCCCTGACCATGCTATGGAGAGCAGGTTAGAAGTAGGAGAAGTGGAAGGTGGTGGAGAAATCAGGAAGTTGTCAACCAGGTGAAAGAGTTGTTGCTTAAACCAGGTGGTGTCAGTGATGGGAGATGGGCAGATTCAAAACTTATTTAAGGGGAGAAATCAACAAGACTTTGGGATTGGCTAGATATGGGACATGAGAAATGGCAATGCCATGAAGAGACTGTATTTTTCTGGCTTGGAAACTGGATAGTTTGCCATCTTTGAAAAAGGAAGACTAGGAACAGTTTGTTTATTTGTTTAATTGTTTATTTGTTTTAGGGTTTGATTGATGACGGGAAAGCACATGAATTTTGAGTTGAGGTACTTTTGAATCCCCAGAGATTTTTGGCAATGGAATTTTAGCTTTGACCCTTCAACTCAGTTCCTGCCAATACTCTACCCCAATTTTTCAATTTCTGCCTCAATTATTTTCCACTGGGAAAACTGAGTCTTCACGGACTCTGACCAATTGCTGCTGTCCAGAGTCATTTGCTGGAAATGACCTTTGGCCCCTAAGATTTGACCTTTCCCACCTTTCCACGGATCCCAGAAGGAGTCCAGCTGCCCAGATAGACTTCAGGTGGCTCAGATGCTTTAGGCTTGTGACCTTGACTCAGACAACAATGTGTGGCCCTCCTGATACATGAGGCCCATACTGCTGCTCTGTCCTTGTTTGAGCTCTTGCTAGTTTGGCTTCAACACCACTTGCTCCCATTCCCTCGTCCCTCCACCTTGACTTCTGCCTCTCCTCCATCTCGTAACCACTAATTCCCAGCATATCTTGTGACTGGCTTCACATTATTTGTGACACGTGAAGATTAATAATTTCTTCATTCTTCTGGCTTTTTCTTTTGTCCTTCCTCAGAAGCATTTTATTAGATGCTTAAGTGAAGCTGCAAACCTGCAATTTATACACCAGATGGCACCAAAACATTATATTTTAAATATTAGTTCGAATTTTGAGGGGGAGAAATCCAAACCTTCCACTATTCTGAGACTAGCACAGCCTCCGGTGCAAGTTCAACAAATGAAAATTCATACACCAACTTCCCAGAATCTGTGGTGGTGTTGCTTTTTATTGGCAGAGAGAGAGAGGGAAGGAGAGAGAGAGAGAGAGAGAGAGAGAGAGAGAGAGAGAGAGAGAAACCTTTCCTGGGAAAAGGTCTTTATTTTTTCCTCTTTAGAATCGTGCTAAAGAGCTAAATGAGGGACACGAATATTCCCAGGGACTCAGTCATTTTCACTCAGTCATGTTTGCTTCACTGTTCTTTTCTCAGTGTTAAGGTTCTGTTACTGAACTTCATTTTGGCAAGAATAACAATACCATTGCTGTCTTTTATCAAAATGATAATTAATATAAGTAAAAATGAATCTATGAATTCAGTATCCTAGCTAAACAGAGAAGTAAAATTAACCATTCTTTCCCAATTTTAAAATGTAATTGTATTTTTCTTCCATTTTAAAATCTAATTATTATTGATATAGCAAAAATAACATAGATGAACATTTAAGTTATTAAAACAAATGTATCTTCTTTGTATTATGTTTTAAGTGTAGAATAGACAGTTTTTGTTCAATCAACATAATTAATAGCTGATGGTCCTGATGATACAGTTTAAGAATCTTTGAGGGTTTTTAAAATTTTAGCAAAATTGTAATGGCTTAAAAAATACCACCCACCTTATAAATTAACACTCTTTACTGGATGATTATGTATCCATTTGGCAAAATGTAATCAAAATGTTATGTGAGGTAAATTCTATAAGGAGTTGTTCTTTCAATTTGGAGATCTGATTAATGACTTATCGAGGGTAACAGAATGTGGATAAAGGGACAGTAGATATTAACTATTATTATTATTTTCTTTGGAGGGAGAAAAAACAATTTCTGAATAAATGTGCAGCATCAAGTGAATTTTTAAAATGAAGCCATGTTAAAAATAGTTTGATGCTATTGCTTTTATGTATACAGTTTTATATTTTGTATGCATATGTATTTGTAGTCTTTTGCCAGCAATTGTAACATACACATACATATACATACAATACAGAAATATTCCTTATTTTGTAAAGATGTGTGTGCATGGGGGGAGGGTTAGTGCTGTGTTTTTCCATTGCATGGAATAGAATGTGTCTTGCTGTAGGACTTGGATAAACGTCTGGCTGCTTCTCTTCGCCTGGGGAGTCACATGAATGTCCACAGTTGCCAAAGTGCTTTGGGATCACTTAGGCTAAAAGATGCTATTTATTGTGAAGCTATCTCATTTCATTCCCAAGGGAATTTCATCATCTTGTATTTGTGAAAACTGTCAGTGTGTCTTTCTCAAAATGTAATTATCTGAAAGAAACAAACCAACACAGAGTGGACCTCTTGTCTTCAAAGTCATTTTATTAAGAGTAAATTAGACTGGAAAAATGATTGCCTAAAATGCATTTTCAATAGATTGCTGTCTAAAATGCATTTTCAATAGATTGCTGTCAGGCTTGCTACCTGTCAAACAGAGAGGCCTGAAGTTTCATAGTGACATATGGATTAGCCCAGTCTTCCCTACAGGGTGAAAACAAAAGACAATTGGTGATGCATGGGGCAAACTCATCTTAAAACAGAGATATCAACAAAGGAATATGACAGCATGAAAAGACAGAGTGCAGTCTGCTGTCCACATTCGCAAAGAGATTCTGTCTGAATCCATAACTTCAATACACTAAGAGACAGAAAAAGAGAAAATACACATTAAGTATAATTGTTTATCGGGTACTTCATTTTAACAAATGCTGAATTTCATTCTCTAAATGGAAAACAAGTGGGAACAATGGATAGAATGAATGACATTATAAAAAGTTATTACAAAGAGCCATATGAAATTAGAGTTATTTGATTTAAAAAAAATCATTCCTCATAGAGACTTGAATGTTCAAATTTCTCATCCACCAATCAATTTGAAAAGAAAGGCTTAAACTCACAAAAGAATCTCAAGAGCAAAACCTTTTCCAGGTTAGAGCTTAACTAAACTGGTGAGGTCATTTAGTTCAGAGTTGGCTTGGGGAAAAAGTACATATCAAAGTTGAAGAAAATCCTACAGATCTGCTTAGGTCTGGGAAAATACAGTATGGATTTTTTTTTTTTAACATCCCATGTGAACAATTACATAGAACACTTGTCCGACCAGCAACTTTCAATTAAATAGAAATGAAAGTTACTCTAATAGCCATTTTAATCCATATATCCTAAGGGACTCAACAAACAAGTGTAATAACACAATGCAAAATTTAGTAAAGGAAAATGGTGCATTGAATTACAGAAACTGCTGGCTTTCTAAGCTTGGGATTAGATGCTATAAAACCAAAGTAAGGTTGTTTTGTAGTTACACAGTACTCACTGGAGAACCATGCAGAGCTCAGTAGTAAAAATTCAGCAAAGGGCACCTTTGGCTTATTATATATCCTGAAAGAATTTGCTAAGGGACAGGGGTCAGTGATGACTGTTGGGTTTTTTGTTGTTGTTTTGGTTTCGTTTTTGTTTTTAACCATCGCCTGTATGATGGTTTCCTTTCCTGGAGACAGTGCTAACTCTACAAAAGGGATAGGCAGCTCCCTATAGAGGGTCATTTAAGGAGAGCTGAAAGGCCCATTGCGGTGCCATGGTGCCGAAAACTCCTGTGATTAGTCATGCCTTTAAGGCCTACCAGAAAATTGTGTTAAGTTTTTATGGGTATTTTATATAAAGTGGAAGTGGGACATATCTTTTAGTTAACATATTAGTATAATTCAGTATATATGTCCTAAAAGTTTGAAAAACATGGCAAATGAGTTTTGGGGGTGGTCTTAGGCTATGCCAGAGGACACAATATGAGACACTACCTCAGAGATCATGAGGGTTTGGAGAGGGCTGAGGATATTAGAATTCAGCAGAGCAGTAGCAAAAAATAAGGGACATCAATGAAAGCATTTTTCAAATGTACAATTTTGCCTTAAACAGAGTTCTACCTAGATAATTTAGGTCATTGATATTTGCTTTAGCACCACACAGGGTTAAAAGTGCATAGAAAATTGCATATGACAGAAATAAACATGTATACTATACTTTCTTTTTCTTTTCTTTTGTTTTTTTTTTTTTTTGAGTCACAGTCTCACTCTTGTCACCCATGCTGGAGTGCAGTGGCATGATCTTGGCTCACTGCAGCCTCCATCTCCTGGGTTCAAGCAATTCTCCTACCTCAGCCTCCCGAGTAGCTGGAATTACAGGCGCCAGCCACCACACCCAGTGAATTTTTGCATTTTTTGTAGAATGGGGTTTCACCACGTTGGCCAGGCTGGTCTCGAACTCCTGACCTCAGGTGATCCTCCCACCTTGGCCTCCCAAAGTGCTGGGATTACAGGCGTCAGCCACCGCACCCGGCCGTATACTATACTTTTACATCAGTTTTTAAAACTTGTATTTTCATTTAATATCACTTTGCTTTCTCTATTGATTATATCTCTTGCCACTTAATGTTTCGCTTTTCCAAGAGCCCATGGAAAGCAGCTTCTGTTTCACATTTTTGAAATATAAACTCACAACCCTGAAACCTCAGTGTGTACTCTTCTAATATAATTATTGCTGATTTTGTTGCTGTTAGATTTGTTCTTGTACGAGTGTCATTGGTTACACTATTATCTCAGCATTAACACAGTGTGTCCAATAAAATTCTTTTCACCTACATAAAACAGATCATAGTTGATTATCCAAATAAGGGTTTATTTTGCTCTCATAGAAAATAACCCAGGGATCAGCCAGACATCCAGGACTGTTACAGTGACTCTTGCTGCTATCAGGGTTTAGATGGGTCTCTCCTTCTGCTCCTCTGTTTTTGATATGTGACTTTCATCTACCCAGTCATCTCATAGATCCAAGATGCTCGACCCCTAGCCTTCCCTGAGTATTACAGATGCAAGAAGAAGAAAGCAACAGGGAGAAAAGATGATACTTATCAGGAAAGACAAGACTCTCCCAGATAGCCAAGTTATCTTCCGCTTATATTTTGTTACCCAGAAATGTGCCTAATGACCACCACTACCTTGAGGGTGCTGGGAAAATATAGTTTTATTTGGTTGAAAAACCAATGTTCTGTTTGTATGGAAGAAGGAGAGACTATAAATATCTATGAAGGAACTGACAGATTCTATCCCAGACTGATAGCTCAAAGAGCGCACATAGAATGGAATGGGAAAATACATTCTTAAAAGGATCCAATATTTAACTGCTTGGGATATAAAAAATTTCTATATTGGAGGGAAATGTGGACCAATGGAAGGATGATTGAAAATTTACTTGAGGATGTGAAGAAGTTAGTGTTTAACCCAAGTGCACTAAAAAAGTTTTTTTTTTTTAATTTTAAAAAGACTTAAGGTTGACTTGTGTGGAATGAAGGAAGAGGGGCATGAAAGAATACTAAAGTGAAAGAACAGAAAAAGACAATCATGGCTTGTTTCTTCATTATGTTTGAAAACAAAAGATGAGCAGGTGAATTTTACCTGTCTGCACCACACACAGAGCGTAATTATTAAGAGCAATGGCAGACAGAAGTGGTTAGTTGGGTCTTCTTGACACTTTTCTAACTGTGTGACTTGGCCAAGTTACTTAGCTTCTATCCCCAAGTCTCATTTAGCAAGACAATAACTAATCCAAACTCATTGGCTTGCAGGATTACGTGATACAATGCTGAATACATAGCAATCAAAATATGTTAAATGTCAGCGGCAGCAGCATAAATATAATCACTAGTATTATGGCTACAGAACTGGGAATTACGTTGTTGATCCTGGCCCAAACTTCAAAGCTCTTCTGTGTGATCTTGGATAAGTCATTTAATTCTATATCCAGTTTTTTTTTTTTCTTCAGTAAAATGAATGTATAATACCAAACTTATGGGCTGGTTATAACAAGCAAATAACAGAGTTCGGAAAAATTCTTTAAATAGGGAAGAATTACATCCAAATTTAGATATTATTAGTGTTACCTTACCATCTGTACTTCCCCCTTTTCTATTTACCACTTTTTTTCTTCCCTACTTCCTATTGACTCCCTCAGATGAAATTGGCAAAAGATGTGGTAGATAATACTTGAGATCTTTCTAAAAATTACATTTGATAAGTATGAATGGTATTCCTTCAATCTGCAGCCACTAGAACTCAAATATTTATCTGCAAGAAACTGAACCATGATCTAAAACCTTTCTTGTGATTTTCAGCTCAATGGAAAAATTATGTTTTTAAGCTGTGTATGCCAAAGACCAACATACTCTTCTGACATGCTACATGTTCTAAGTTCTTCCTTTCAACTTTGGAAGGTATTAAAATTGCCTGCCTTTGTAATAAACAATTCCTGTTAAAAACTGTCTCTGTTTGGAGAGTCCCTGGGGATAATATGCAGATTATCTGCCTCTGATGGTGGGAGTTGTCACTGATCTCCATTACCACCTGCCTCAGGCCTTGGAGCAATTCCATATGCAGTTGGCCTTAAATGCACCACAGTCCCCACTTGCATTGTCAGCTTTAGTCACTTTAAATGGTCTCCAGTAAGTACTTAAGAATAGCTTCAGTAGGGTATTCCTGATTTTTAGAGCTTAGATAGATTCCAACACGTATCTTTTATGCCTCCCGCGTTATTTTCTATTTGTGCAATATACAGACTTTCTATTCCAATTTTCCATAATTGTACTTAAGGGACACTTAGTATTTGAAAACAGCTTTTTCCAAATTGATGCAACAGATTTTTGCTTTTTTGCCATTAATTCTAAACCTTTAAAATGAAGCTGAGTAATGGCTGGCATTCTTCTTTTTTATGTGTTAAAAATTAAAGTTCTTTATATGGGGCTTCAGCTCTTCAATATATTCCTTTTTTCTATCCTTCTTTTTTATTCCTCTTGTATAAAATATACTAATATCACCCAGAATGTCAGCTGGTACTTAGATCAATCACATGAGCACCATCAACTTGATGTGGTCTCTATGGTTTGGATCGAGTTCTCAAGAATACAGGTGTAGGGAATTCTGTTGACTGAATGCCAAGGAAGTGGTTTACAATTAGAAAATTCACCAGAGGTTTATTCATAAATAAGAAGGCCAACATATTAACTTTGTGATACAAAATATTTTTTATCATGACCACAATATTTATGACTAGTTAGCAGGCCTACCGGTAACATTTGTGGGGCCTGAGGCAAGAGTGCGAATCAAGAAACCATTAACAAACCATTTAAGTGTTTACAAATTATAAATTAATTTATTATTGATTAAAATATGTTCTGTCTTCCTATTTTGACAAACATACCTTCATTATGATCTAGAAGGACAGTTAGAATTATAATTCTCAGCTTTCCTTGTGAGGAGGAGCCAGCCGCATGGCCCCTGGCCTCCATGCCTGTGCTCTTCAGCTAGCTGCCCATCTCTTTTTATAACTGGTTGTTTCCTTTTATTTCCCAGGACTCTCACATTCATGTTGTGAACAGGCTGTATAAGCATAAGTTCAATCGATACTAAGAGTGAACAGCCACCCACTGGCCACTCCTCTCCCTGCCTTTGGGAGGTGGGACCCAAGGAAGAGGTGGTACAGATGTTTGAGTCAAACTTGAAGCCATTGGAGCAGGGACCTGTAGAATCTCAGGTACCCAGCTCATGATGCTAGAAGCAGGTCAATCCTTTACCCATGGATGTGTTCAGAGGAGGGCCAGAGTGGGGCACTAAAGCACAGGGCCCAGGGGAAGGGCTTCTTGCCAGGTTCTAAGAATGGATTGAATATCAAAGTGTCTGGGATGTTAAACTGTCATTGGTAGATAGCTTGGGGAGTGGGAGAAGACATTAAGTGGGAAATAAAAGTCTTTAGGGACATTTTCAAGGCCACGAAAAGGCCTGATAGACTTTTCAACTCCACAAATAAATCAACTCTCTAAAGAACAAAAATATGCATGCTTGTTGGTTTCATTCTCTCTCTCTCTCTTCCTATCCTCTCACTTCCCCTCTACCTCCACTCCACCTAGAGGGCTTTATATAGACGGTCAAATACTTGTTTCCAAAAAAGGTGCAAAATTCATTCAGTTAAGGTAACAAATTTTAAGTCTGTAATCTTGACATTCTTTTGAGTTACCTTATCTGGATCTGGAGCTGTTCTCTCAACCTCTTAGTCACCTGTTCTTAGGAATTTCCTGGACTTAAAAGTCCTTGCTTAAAGTCCTCACTGGTATTATTAAATAAACATTTCAAGTTCATCACAAGAACAGTCTACAGCAATGGTTCTCAAACTATAGCAAGCATCAAAGTCATTTGGATGACTTGTGAAACACAGATTTCTGACGCCATTCCTTATCTTCTGGTTCAGTACATCTGAGTGGGAGTTGAGGGGGCATGAATTTGCATCTCTATCAAATTTCCAGGTGATACTGATGCTGCTGATCAGAGGGAACACTTTTGAAAACCACTGCTCTTCATGTATGCTGTCACTTCTCCCCTTCTAGTCCACTCTTCCGTTTAGCATAATCTATCTCGGAACTTAACCATCCACTGACTTTGCTCTGATCAGAATCACCAATCTTCTCCTAATGGCTAACTCTAATGAACACTTCCATTGTCCAGTAAACTCTTAGAAAGATTCCTATGCATTTGATGTGATTAATTACTGTTTCTATATTGCATTTTCTTTGAGTTTTATGTCTTAACAACTTTTGCTCTTCTGCTTCCCCGGATGCTATGCTTTCCTTGTTGAACCCTCCACCTGGAAGTCTTCTACTCAGTCATCTTTCTAAACTGGTGCCCAGTGTCACCTACTCAAAGACACAATTTCTTTTCTTGTCCTAGAAACATAAATGACCCTTTCTTTTTCTTTCCTATTTGGCTCTATTTATGCTTATATCATTCCCTCTGTAACATCTGTAATGGGATATGTTTATCAGTCTCCTCCCTCAGGGAGAATCTTGACAAGTTTTTGTTTTGTTCTCCCAACTATCGATACACAGTAGATGTGAGGACCTCCTAGGTACCAGTGGCCACTCTCATTCTTTGGGGTGTAACAAAAGTATGTCCATATGAGGTACATAAAAAGGATGAAGCCAAGTCTTTGCGTCAGGACAGATGTCAACTTCTTTGTGGTCACCTGATAAAATGCTGACTGCTCATAAAGGAAAACTCTCTTCAGATGCAATTGCCAGTAGGAGAAACTGCTTGCATTATCTTGGGAGTATGTAGTCTGAGTATGAAAATTCAGCTCCCTTTCAGCTTCCAGGTGCCTAAACAATGTCATGGTTGCCCTTTCCTGAAAATGTTTTTTATTTTGCCTGGCTTTAACAGGTTTGGCCCACTCTTTTCTTTCTCACTAAACTCTCTGCTCTCATTCTCTCCCCTTTCATCTCTCCTCTCTGCTTCAGAAAAGGAGAATCTTTCAAGCAAATGTTTTATCCATTATAGGAGTTCAGTATGTCCTCAAGGCTTAAATCTTTGGAAGTGAAGTCAGAAAAAAAGGCAGACTCTTTTTTTTATGTCTTTGCTTTCACCCAATTACATTGCCCTTCTGGGTAATATACTCAGCACGGAGCAGGTGCTTCTCTGTAGGGTGAAGGTGGGAAATAGACTATGTGCAAAAGGAAAATATGTTGGTGACTATGTAAAAACAGCCTAGGATTCAATCCACCGTCCTGCTAAAGAACTTGACTATAACCATTCTGGGGAATTCTGTGCTATTCATCTGCGTAGCTACCTTGCCTGTCACCCATTGTGCCTGCCATGTTTACTAAAAGATCAGGAGTTAATATCACTTTACAAAAAATAATAGCCTATTGCTACCATCTTTAGGAGAATTTCAGAGACTATACAGTTAACGCCTAACATTAATTTGCCCTTGGGGCTTTAATTCAGCAGGTATGAAAAGAGCCTCTTGAATAATTATTCCCTCCCTCCTCCAAAGGCCTATTTCTCCAAAAAATCCAGGGTCAGGAGCAGCAGCAGGAATGCCAGCAGCAGCCACATATATGCAAGTCAAGCTTCTCTCCATCTGCTTCCTCCTTAGGGAAAATCTAATGCTAAAATGACTTTCTAAGGGGAGGAAGCACAGCTGCTGTCACCACCATCTTTGTAGAGTCTCAGAAAACACACACATACACACACACACACACACACACACCAAAAAACTCCTCTTCCCCTAAGCTCTGGTTGCTTTTGGACACATCTTGAATGACAGTGATGACTCACTTTGCCGCTGGGATGCCGGCTCCAACAGCACCTCCTTTGTGGCTCTGGCCCCCATCCCATTTGTCTTCTGGCCCTGGGAACCAGAGAGACAGGACTATTTCTATTTCAGGCATCTGTGTTTCTGATCAAGCTGGTGTTTTAGGCCAATTTAAGTGTGAGTAAGAAGTACTTCGCATTTCTCTGAAGTCGTGCTATCACTTGGGCAATGGGCAGAGAAGCAGGTGCTGATGCTGAAATGCTTGACTCAGAGGGCAGAGAATTCTGGAAGGAAATGCCATCCCTATATTTGAAAGTCCTGGTGTAATTCAGGGGTCTTAGGTGGAAGAAGACTTTGGACAAATCTGGCAAATCTTCATATTTCTCTCTCTAAAAATAAAATGATATCTAAATAAAATCACTTTTTATTTCTCTAGCTTTGAAAATATGATTATAGGTTGTCTGAATAGTCTCAGTTTTTCTTAACTTTAGTTTACTCATCTATATTGAGGTCCTGATGTTCCAGAGAAGCTCCAACTTTAAAATTTTTAATTTTATATCAATAACTATTATCTTCTTCTGTTTCTTTCATGTAATTTTATTGCTCTCAAAAATTAATTATAATTTATTTGGTTTTAAGGTACAGCCTGGACACCTGTAATTATTCCAGTCCTGCCCAGGTGATTCTCTTTTACAGTTAGGGCTGAGATCCACTGATTGTGAAGCTGTAAGGCTACCTCACCTGAAAGTATTATTTGATGAGTCTGAGATTTGCTAACAACTTACAGTATAATCTATTGATGGATATCTTGCTTCATATTGTAATAGTATGCAGTTGGCATTTTTAATTTAACTTTATAATTTACTTCAGTACAAAGATATATTGAAATTAGAATATATGGCTAAATGGATTGTTTCCTTGTGACTGCATAACACTATGATATCTTACATTTGTATGGTTCTTTACATCTTAGCAACAGCTTTTATGTAATTTTATTTGATTCCAAAACAATTCCACCTAGTAATTGTGCTGGTATTTGTAATGAAATAGGGTCACTATTTCTGGAATGCTTCATAAGGAATGTTATTAACCAAGTGGCTTCTATCTCTGCACCCAGTCCATCCTATGGTCCCAGTAAAAGGTCAGAGTCAGGGTTGTAAAATAGGAACGACATCTGAAAAACATGAAGAAGTATAAATCCTGCCTGTGCTACCCTATGTGAGTGGGAGGAAGAAAGAGCTAAGACATGAAGGGAGGTAACTGATCAGACAGGTGTGTGTGCTTTCCTTTCTCTGGGTTGCAAACCCAGGAGGGCATCTGGTAGAGTGGTAGTCATCGAGGGGAAATCTGAAAACAGAGCTTTACACTGGCCTCCAATTGGAATGTAGGGATAGAGTAAACGTGGGATCAGGACATGTACAGAAGGATGCAGATGTTCTCTAGGCTCCTACAAAGAAAGCAGAAGTTAGCTCAGTTGAGAGCCATTAGGATTGCTCTGAGGCTACAGGTTGGAGAATATGGGCAACACTTTGAGGGCTCTGCAAATCAGCAAGAGCCAAAGAAGGGCAAGTCATCAGTGGAGGGCAACTCCAAGTCCATTGTTGTTCTCCCTTAAACTCATGGAGACTATTCCAGACTCTTGGACTACCTAACTGCCTCCTCCTTATCAAATTTTACCAAATTTATGTCTTGTCTATCCGGTCACTGGTCTAGATTAAGTGACAGATGGGAGATTTGATATAGCTGATTCTAATTGAGAGGAGTGAAATAGAAAGGCCATGTCATCAGACCAGCCTAGTCTGGTTCCAACAGTTTCTACTTGGGTCTCTTTAAACAAGTCACTTAATATCTCTCAGCTGAGAATTCTATCAGCATTTGACACTTACATCTAGCTCTTAGAGATGATCTGAAAATTAAACACATAACTCTGCTTGTCACTTTTGGTCTTTTGGGGTCATTGCAGCAGCTCCAATGCCTAAAGCAGAGTCTAGTTGTTAGTAAGCACAAAATATGCAATTGTTGAATCAATTGAATGAATGTCTTAGCTAGAAAACTTTTAGTAACAAGTGGTAGAAATCCCAACTCAAATTTCCTTCAAAATGAAGAAATACATTGGATAACAAAATTGAGAAAGTGTAGATGTTTGTCAGTGGTCAGATATGGTTGAATTGGTGGCTCTCCTTCTTTGGGATTCTTTATATTTTGCCTTCCTGCCTGAGCTGGCTTCTTCCTCATACAAGTACTGACATGGCTACAAGAGCTTTAGGACTTAAAATGCACAAAGAAAATTCAGAGGAAAAAAGGCCATTTGGGGTGGCTTTCTTTTTGAAATGAGAAAATGTCTTTCCCAGAACTCCCATGAAACCTAACTTCATGCCAATTTGGTCACTTGACCAAATTGTAATGCATGCCCGTTAGTGAGCCAAGTCTATGGCCTAAGTAACATCTTTCACTAGGTGGTCCATGGTTGGGCTCCCAAGCCAGTCACTTACGAGGACAATGGGATTACCCTTAGAACAATCAGCCTCTGAAGCTAGCAGTGGGGTGCGCTCTGCCTGAAGGGCATATTTTATGTATGGAATGGGAGTGGTGGATACTTGAACCCAAATTAGGGTGCTTTTTGGAAGGAGAAAATGGATGCTGGGATGGAGCAGGATGCAATCAACTTCTGTTTACTGCAATATGTAAATACCAGTCAGCATATTTGACATGCAGTGGACTCTCAATTAATACTCCATTTCTCTTATAAATAGGACTTGTGTAAAGATTTAAAGAAAGTGATCAAGTTATTAAGTGGTAGCCAGTCAACAGTTTAGTGGGATTGGGGAAGAATGGAGCATATATCAGTCAATGTCCCTACAGCAAATATATAGCACATTCAAATGAGGGAACTGAAAAGAATTTTAATAAAGGACTATTTACAAAACAAAGGGAACCAACCAGGAATAGATAAACACTGCCGTGGTAGCAATGAGAGGCATGTTACTAACCCTAAGTCTAAGGCGCCAAGGGGGGCACTTAGTAATAAACCTGGAACCTGGAAGGAGTTGCTGTCAGTTGTTTTCAATGGTGGGGTGGTGGGTAGGAGGAGATTTTGCTCCTTGGGGGACATCTGGCAATGTCTGGAAACATTTTGGATTGCCCTGACTGAGTGGATCTTGTTGGCACCTTGTGCGGAGAGGCCAGGAATGTTGCTAAACAGATGCATACAATGAACAACTATCCGGCTCAAGATGTCAATAGTGTGAAGGTTTAGAAACCTTGTACTAGAGAAAGTATTGTGAAAACAGAGGGCTGCTGAGAGTGTGAACTTTTTATATAACCCTAGGCAACTTGAGGCAAAGCGAAAGTTGTGGCATGAGATATCGGACCTCCCTCCCGCCTGCCTGCCCATATCCCAGTGACTCTCACTGGGCAACCCTAACCTGAAGCTAGAGAGCAAGGAATTCCACTGATTCAGACTATGAATCTCAGCCTCACAGACACAGAGTAGGGTAGATAAGAGTAGTGGACTTGGAGAGGCAAAGGAAAAACATCCAGTGCAGGGGATGAGTTGGGATGTGGGTCAAAACCATCAAATATGGATAACTTTATATGGCTCAACCTTCTACTGGAATTGGAAGGTGGGCAAGTAAGATAGAGGTGCAATAAAAGGGAAAGTTTAAGTGCTTGATTCTGAGCTCTGTTTATATTTACAATTTTTTTTGAAGAGTTTTGAGACCATGAGCTAAATGAATATTTCCCAAAGTAGGTTCTGTGGAATGCTACTCTCTCATATATTTGTAGGTATTGTAAGGGGTCATGAAATGGCTTTTATCTAAATAGTTTGGGAAATGCTGCATTAAATAATATGAAAAAGAAATAATCAGAGAATTTGATATCTTAATATTCATGTAAATTTCCTGGAGAGAGAGAGATTTTAAACTTGTTCTCCCAGACCTTTGGACTCAGTGAGAAAACTGTTCATGAATTTTCTCATAAACTAGTGCTCTAGGTGGTATGCATTGGGAAATACAGGCATATATCTTGCTGAAAAAATGGATTTTGCTCAATTGCATCTGAAAGAGGAACAGAGAAGGGCATCAGGAAAAAGACATGAAGTAGCATACAAATATTTATTTCAATAACTGCATGGGATGTCAAAGATACTCAATGAATTGTAAGCTCTTTTCTTTAGCTCAGCAATTGTTTAACTGATCTTGGTGGACTTTGAAAATCTAACAGATTAGCCCAGCCACTATATAAACTTCAAGGACCTTTCTAGTTCTAATATGTGATGAACTATCCTACGGAGGGATACCTATTCAAGTAGACTTCTACTCTATTTGCCTCCAGACTTTCATTATTGTAACTCTGTGGGTTTTTTCTTCCCTCCTACTATGTGCTTTTGATGTAGCGGTCTCTACACCGGGTTGCAGAGTGGGGCAGGCTTGTGCCTGTAATCCCAGTTCTTTAGGAAGTCGAGGTGGGAGGATCGCTTGAAGCAAGGAATTCCAGACCAGCCTGGGCAGCAAAGGAAGACTTCATCTCTGAAAAAAAAAAAAAAATTAGCTGGACATGGTGGCCCACATTTGTAGTCCCAATTACTGGAGAGACTGAGGCAGGAGGATCCCTCGAGTCCAGGAGTTTGAGGCTGCAGAGAGCTAAAATTGTGCCACTGCACTCCAACCTGAGTGAGAGAACAAGACCCTGTCTAAAAAAAAAAAAAAAAGAAAAAAAAACTCTATCAGATCAGGTTGGAGAACTAGCCTATTGTAGAGATGCATCATATGACTTTTCTCTTCTTTAGTTTTGGATAAGGATTGATAATTTATATTCAATGAATTAATAAAACACAAATTCAAGGCTAACTTTTCTTCCATTTTATAGAGGCCTTGTTTTTGTAGTACCAGATGCATGAGGCAGGTGATCCATTAGATATGTCCTATGTCACAACCAAATTTTTTAGGTAACAAAAGGTTTTGAAACACAATGTAGCACATTTGCAGGTATTAACAGTTAGTACTTTTTCCATTGCCACTGACCAAAAATTTACCTAAATGGACATAAACCTCAAAAGAACTCATTGGTTCACATAATGAAAAAGTTTACAGGTTGTATTGCCACTGGGTGAGTTTGATCCAGGTGATCAAGTAATGTCAACACTTGATTTTTCTCTCTCTTTGCTCAGCCTTCTGCTTATTGGCTTTCTAAGTTAGTCTCACCATGTCCAGTCTCATAGCATCCTAAGCACTGATTGTACCAGCAATCCAAGCTATCATTGTATTTTATTGGCTTCAGCTGGATCATATGACAATGGTTTCCATGTGACTGTGGCCAGACAAATTCAATGCTCTCATGGGCCAGCATTGACCACACACCCCACTCTGGCACCAGGGGTAGAGACTGCTCCATCCAAAGCACATAGTAGAAGGAGAAAAGAAAAAACCCACAGTGTTAAAATAATGAAAGCTTGGAGGCAAATAGAGCAGAGGTCTACTTGAATAGGTACCCCTCCATAGGATAGTTCATCTCATATTAGAACTAGAAAGGTCCTCAGAGTTCATCTAGTCCAACCTGTATAGAGGAGAAAACTAAAGGAAAGAGAAATTAAATAATTTTTCTAGGCTCACACAGCTATAGGCAAAAGGTAGATTAGGAACCAAAGATTTCTAATTTTTAGTTTGGACTTTATTATATTTGACATTATATTCAAGCAAATAAAGGTACAGGCACACTTTGTGCAAGGCACCTTGGACAAGAGGAAGAACGGTAAAGAAGTATGTCAAAGGACTTGCTGCTGGTCAGAAGTCTCACAGGATGCTGGCAGTAAGCCAGATCTAGACACCTTAATTCTTTATTCTGAATTTACAGTGGCCCTATTTTCTCATCCTTATATAGTTGGCAATATCTTTCTTCATGCTAATAAATGCCTGAGACACATATCAGGAAGCTCAGTTAGCATAAGGATACTTATGCCATTAAAACTGGGCCTTATATTATTAATCAATTAGTGTGCATGTCTGTGTAACTATTTAATTATAGCAGTCAGGTCACATAGATACACTATCCACTTTATGGAGCATGATCAGTATTACTTTTTATCCTCAGAATAATTTTATTAGTTTTGGTGACCGTAGAGTGCTGATGCTAATATTAGCTTCTTTTAAAATATTTCACAGTTAAAGCTTAATAGGCATCTTTGGTTCATGCCCTGAGGAGAAAACCTTCCTTTTCTGATCTCTAATAAGCATAATGCTAAGTTTCCAGGTAAAAACTATGAGGAATAGAAACAGGCCCTACCCTTGGAAGAACTGTGATGAGAAAAGTAATTTTACACTTGGTTCTTTTTCATTTCACCAGGCTTCTGCATTTCTTTATTTACCTTTTGGGTGCTGGTGCCCAATGCAGGGCTATCCTATAAAGCGGAAAGTTAACTATGTTGAAAACCAAGTAAACCTACAATAGGGAAAGCCTATTTCTAATTGTGACAAAACTTACAACTCAATTCCTTAGGTGAATATTAGGTATCCTGCAGAGACTCTGGTGTACTAAATACAATACTGATAACTGTTTGATGCATTTTTTAACGTTCTGACGCCAAAGTAGAGATCTCTCTTCTTTGCCTCTTTTTTAAAGCTAAATACTATTCCATTGTGTATATGTTCCACCTTTTTTTAATTCATTCATTTGTCGGTGGCCACTTAGATAGATTCCATGTCTTGGCTATAGTGAATAATGCTGCAATGAACATCAGAGCGTAGGTATCTCTTTGACATACTCATTTTACATCCTTTGGATATACACCCAGTAGTGGAATTGCTAAATCATATAGTAGTTTTAATTTTAATTTTTTGAGGGTCTTCTCTTTCCAACTTTTATTGTCATCAAAAACTTAGGTTCCTTATAATAATATCAACAGTTTTTAAAAGTTGAAAAGCCTTAAAATTATCTTAAAGGAGAGAAGTAGACAACTATCCAAGGCATGCTACATGAAGTATCTGTGATTGCAAGCATACTTATTGCAGACAAAGGTGATAAATACTGGTGAGTAGAACTGGATCATAAATGTCAACAAATCTTTTCAAACCTGTGAAATTAATAAGAACAAATTATGCCACAGTCACCTCTTCCAATACATATGTATCATCTCTACAATCTTACATGAACAAAATGGCTTTCAAAGGTCCTAGTGCATAGCCTCTCTATTTCACATCTAGGCTTATCTACTTCTCCCAACCCTATGCAAAAAAAAAAAAAGAAAAAAAGAAAAAAGACTTTTCCTACACAAAATTTTGCTACTCTGACTTCTAACTAGTGTTTGAGAAAATCAATCATCTGAACTTGTATTTTAATAAAATTTAGTGAGAAAAAATTATCAGTGGAAAATATTTGCAATGTTCACTTTTTAAAAATTTAACTTTTATTTTTGATACTGGGGATACTGGGTCAATTTTTTACATGAGAATATTGTGTAATGCTGAGGTTTGGAATATGAATCTTGTCACCCTGGTGGTAAGCATAGTGCTCAATAGGGAGATTTTTAACCCAATCCCACTGTATAGTAATCCACAGAATCGGTTGTTCTCATATTTATATCCATGTGTACTTAGTGCTTAGCTCCCACTTATAACTGAGAACATGTGGTATTTAGTTTTCTGTTCCTGCATTAATTTGCTTAGAACTATGGCCTCCAGCTCCAACCCTATTGCTGCTTATGACATGAATTCATTCTTTTTTATGGCTGCATAGTATTCTATGGTGTATATGTACCACATTTGCTTTATCCAGTATACTACTTTTGGGCACCTGAGTTGATTCCATATCTTTGCTATTGTGAATAGTGGAGTGATGAACATATGAATGCATGTAATTTTTTGGTAGAATTATTTATTTTCTTTTGAGTATTTACCCATTAATGAGATTACTGGGCCAAATGGTAGCTCTTTTGTGAGTTATTTGAGAACTCTTCAGACTGCTTTCTCTAGTGCTTGGACTAATTTAAATTCCCACCAATAGTATATGTGTTCCCTTTTCTTTGCAGCCTGGCCAGCATCTATTGTTTTTTGACTTTTCAATAATAGCCATTCTAATTGGTGTGAGATGATATTCCTTGTGGTTTTGCTTTGCATTTCTCTGATGATTAGTGATGTTGAGCATTTTTTCAAATGTTTTTGGCCACTTTGTATGTCTTCTTTTGAGCAGTGTCTGTTTATGTTCCTTGCCCATTTTTTAATGGGGTTATCTGTGTTTTGTTTGTTGATTTAAGTTCCCTATAGATTCTGGATAATAGCACTTTATCAGATGCACAGTTTGCAAAAATCTCCCATTCTGTAGGTTGTCTGTTTACTTTGTTGATAGTTTCTTTTGCTGTGCAGAAGCTCTTTAGTTTAATTAGGTCCCACTTGCAATTAACAGATTCAATCCTATTCCTATCTGACTATCAATGTCATTCTTCACAGAATTAGAAAAAAACTATACCAAAATTAGTATGGAACCAAAAAGAAACCTGAATAGCCAAAGCATTCCTAAGCAAAAAAACAAAGCCAGAGGTATCATACTACCTGACTTCAAACTATACTATAAAACTCCAGTCATAAAAACAGCTTGGTACTGGTACAAAAACAGACACGTGGACCAATGGACAAGAAGAGACAATTCAGAAATAAAGCCATACACTTACAACCATCTGGTCTTTGACATGTCTGACAAAAACAAGCAATGGGGAAAGGAAAGCACTATCAATAAATGGTGCCTGGATAATTGGCTAGCCATATGAAGAAGATTAAAGTTGAACCCCTACCTTTTACGATATACAAAAATTTACTTTATATGGATTAAAGATTTAAATGTAAGACTTTAAACTATAAAGGTTTTGGAGGACAACTTGGGAAATATGCTTCTCAACATTGGCCTTGGCAAGAAATTTTTGGCTACATGTCCCAAAGCAATTGTACTCTTCTCTTATGCTACATGTTTTTCGAAGGTCTTCATCCTATTGTATACGACATTCCACTTCAGGATGCTTCAGTTGGAGGAAAACAAGAAAGAAAGTGCTCTAAAATTTAAGCAAATTAAGGCAATTTAAGACCTTGTGACTCTTGGCTAAATAGTGAGTAGTAAATCAATGCTAGAATTGTCATTGGTACTATGGCCATGTTGAGACATTCAAGGCGCTTTTGAATGAAATTCAAGATCAAAGCAAACTTATGAGTTTGAAATGGGAAGCTAATTTCATATTTCTGATATTTAGCTTCTTGTTTACATGTTTTGGAATGTTTATTCTTAGATTTAGTTATTTTACAGCTAAATGAACAAAGCCCTCTAACATCTTATAAACAAATACTGACATATTTGTCAAATTGTATTTGTGAGATGTCTTGAAGATTTGTAATTATTTTATCTTAAAAATCAAACCAAAACAAATGCTCAGTTCATTCAACTCTAATAACCTGATGGCAGCAATGAACAGGAGGAGACATAACCCAGAGGAAACCCTAAGGACTCATTTATGATATCTCCCTGTAGCTACAGAGTGATAGAATGACACGTGCAGCTCTACAAAAGTAAAAATGCACTCATGAAAATATTTTGGACCTAGAAATACCTGTGCAGAAACACAAAACAAACCTGGTACATTTATAGCAAGTTTTTGTGTTTCTCCACCTGAATTTCTGTATAAAGCTATAATTTTTTAAAGCAAAATGAATAGCATGCTATTGACTATAGATCATTAACACATCAAGGCAGTATATACAGGAGTTTATTTAGCCTGATCCTTATTCCTCATCTAAAAGTGCATGGTTTATGTTTTGCTTTTGATATTGCAATGAATGAAATTAAGATTTCTATATCAAAAAGAGGAAGTTAGAACTTCAGGAGATAAACAAGAAACAAAAGCAGCTAAAACCCTGAGAGATAAAAAGATGTTCTTTTTAAATTTCATTAGTGTCCTTCTGTTTCCAACCTCCCTGCTGTCCAACAAAACAAAATTCTTCAGAAAATTGCTGCATGTAAAAACCAAATATAATGAGCTACATTTTTTTTCCTAAAGAGAATATACTCAAAACGTTTTCAAAATACACTCTTTAAGAAGGAAGGCAGATTCTGACAGTCTCAGAACTTTCCAGAGAATGCCCACACAAGCCACCTGGGAGGTTTGATATGACAACATTATATTGTGGACATAGATGTTAATATTAAGCCTTTAGCCCTATTCGTCAACTAGTTTACAATGTGAACATTTCTTTGAACAACTAGGAAATGAACTCAACTTTTGCTATGTGTTTTTTTAATTAAGTAGCCTATCCTGTCTACCCCTACAAAGTTCCCAGTCCCCTGCAACCCCAGGCTAACACCTGAAGTCACACTCCTTATTAACTATACTACAGTGACTTCTATACATGCCTCTGCATGTGCAAACCGTCCATAATAGACACTTTGGGGAAAGGGGTGAGGACATTACCATGTGCTTCAAGTTATCTAAGGCTATTTATTCTATATGATGAATGTGCTGATAACTTTCTGCTATGATTCTTCTATTTGGCCAATCACCTTTCAGTTATCTGCTAGCTCCCACAGCACATACACAATCACAGCTTATTTCCTAATCAGACATTGTAGTGCAACACAGTTTGATCTCTACAACTGTACACTATAACAGATGTATCCTCCATTATGGCCTTGCTTTTTTTACTGGACTGGGAATCCTGAGAGTGGCAAACATGGAAAGCAAGGTAAATAATCACAGGTCTCATACAATGCAGCTGTTTACCTTCCAGACAAAGAGCAGCTTGCTTACTGCTTCTAAAAAATGACAGATTCCCTAAGCTCATGGAACTCCTGTGGTACATCCTACTCCATGTTTAGGGGCTTCCTGGCCCTCCATATATCCCTATTGAAGGACTATAGGAACTTACAGAACCAATACAAATATGCTGGTACTCCTGCTTTTGTTTTGGTTGTTAGTAATACAGTTCCTTGTCTCTGACAAAGAGTCACCTGTCTTCTGTTAGCATCCATGGAACTATAGAAGGGTACTCATTAGCTTGCATAGTTATTTCTTCTACTTAGTCAAAGCTATTTAAATATGGCAAAATTTCCACAGTTGTGAGCCTTTACATATGTCTAAATCTATTGTAAGCATCTTGTGGGCTGAGATCATGCCATGTAGTTTTTAATCATCCCAGCATTTAGCATTGTTGTACACATAAGTATTTGATAAACATTTGATGGATTGTTGACATGTTGAAAGCAATCTTACATATTTGGGCACATTTGAGGTAAGCACGTGTTCATTCCTGTTATGACAAATACCAATATCCCCCTAATTAATTCCTCATTTTGGATACCAATATTTTTTCTCATTTCTTTTCTTCTCTCTTCCCCTCCATTTTTTTTCCAAAATATTCACCTCCTTTCTCCTTCCTTCCTTCCTTTCCTTCCTGTGCTATGTCTTCTGTCTACATACCTACCTACTTGTCACCTACCATATTTTCATTTATTCAACAAATATTTACCAAGATGCCGCCTATGTATCAGACACTATTCTAGGCTCTGCAAGTACAGAAGCAAACAAAATGAGTCAATATCTCTCACTTTTGTCTCATTACCTTCATTTGAAAAAATATTAAAAACAGATCACAAGGAATATATATAAATAACACAATCCACAGTAGAAATAGGTATAGAAGAGATGAAAAACAAACAGGAAAGAAATAAAGAAATAAACCAGTGCTTAGGAATGAAACTAATACTGTAAAGTTGAAACATATTTGTTTTTGCCACAAATTTGGCTCTATGGTTTAATTGGAAGATTCTAAGTTCTCCTAGGATAAGAAAAGGTCTTAGAATACTCACATTTTTAAGAAGGTCTGATGCCCAGGGTCATAGTTGTTTTTTCTATATGATTCCTTCCTAGGCAAGTGTTTGACTATGCTGTGGGAACATCTAATCATGGTGATCACATATAGAGGCCACAGAGGAGAGTCCATCTAAGCCATGCCCATCTCCTGGGTCTAGGTTCCCCATTCATAAATCAGTTTATTGTAACTCTATAACTTGTATCTATTTACTGATGTGGTATTACTTGTGTTATAATATATGAATGTGAAAGCATATGAAAGTGAAAAGTGATTATGTTTCTAATCTGAGAGATGTAAAAAATGGCACTTTGGATAGGCTCCTATACATGGAGGAAATTCATATTCATTCCTTCACTTGTTTTTCATTGTACCCAAGCTCTAGCATTTCAGCTCCTTGAGATTCTAACTTGGTCTTTAAGACATCTCTCATATATTAAACAATTGCAATAAGGGTTGCTCAGCATGTTACTTGTTAATAAAGGACATCTGCATTTGTTTTAATGCTTATTTAAGAAGAAATTGGGATTTAGTGCTTGTCGGCACTAATGGAATCAATGGTACTTTAATATGTGTTAATGGCACTTCAGCTCCCTTAGCAGCAGAAAACAGGTTATTAACCAAACACATTATTGCTCCAAATGAAAGAGAAAGTATATGGAATCTAGAAAAGGCAAAGATGGCACATGATTTTGCTGGTTTGAGATCATTTAAACCTAAATGAAACATATATTTTTCTCCTTCACTATGTTTTTAATCCAAAGGGCAAATACAATTGTAACAGTGGGTGTTGGGTAAAGCCATCATGCAGCTTATCAAAGCAGAGGGCAAAAACACATGCTCAGTGCTCCTCCTTGTGAAATTTCAATGAGATGCTAACTGTGAGCTGCTAGCTTTAGGAAAGGATTTTCCTTCTCATTGATATATATATCTTCAAAGGATCGAGTGATTAAGAGGGGAAGAGGTGCTCTAAAAAGAACAGAGAAGGGCAATGCATTGGGTTAGGCTTTAGCTCATCATATTAGATTCAACAAAACAGGAAGTCAAATTAATGGTCGAGGCCTTGACTTGTATAACTTGCTTTTGGACCACCAAGCCTCTCTTTACTTTGCACCTGTATAGAGCTTTGATCTTATAGTGTTCATTTCTTTGGGCATTTATTACATCTGGTAGCAGATTTTGTAATTTAGGCACTACATGTTGTTAAGTCAGAGACTAGAAGTAACATAAGAAAATAAGACATAATTACTTTCTAAAAAAACCCTATTTTTTCATTTGATATCTGCATCAAAATGTTCTTAAATATTTCCTAATATGGCTAATCCTTACATTTTTAAAAGACCAGTGAAAGCTTTCTGCAGTTAAAAGGTTACTCAAGCATTCTCAATTAGTAAAGAGTGTGCTTAACTTTTGAAATATTTTGTACAGTTACTGAAAATATCTATTTTATTGATATTTTCTAACATTCATGTTATTTTTCTTTGGGATGGAAAAATAGACAGAAACCTTAACTGAAAAAGAAAGTCACTTATAGTCTCATACAATTGATTTTTACACTTTTATTTAATGGTTTATAGACTCTAAAAGAACCTTCTCTGAAATATAACCTTTTTCAAATCTTGTATAGAATGGATAATTTCTGGCATTTTTGGAGACTGAAAGGACAACCAATGATTAAGTGTTTGAAATACTAGATTGAAAATGAGAAAACTTAATGTATTATCTCAGTTACACACCATGGTCTCAGTCTCATCATTGAGTTGTTATAAAACCCAGCAAGGCAATTTTAAGGAAGTGCTTTGTACTTTTGGAAGAAAGGTTCCATATCAATATACAGCATTAATATGAGTTTCTTGGAGGGCTATTGCCTGAAATCTGAGAGTCAATACAGTATTCTCAGTTGCTAGTGTCTAGTTACATAAAACACTCTAGGATTATACTGCCAATTTCATATCTACGCAGAGTTTTGTTAATACTTACTATAAAAGGGGATGCTAAGCAGTGAGATCAATGATCTATTCGAAGTCACTCTATATGTGGGCAACATTTCTTCCTGCTTCATCCCTCCTGGTTTACTAAAGGAACATTTTCCTATCTTGAATTTCAACATATTTATTTTGACATCACAGGGACAAACATATATTGTTTAAATTTTCTCTCTTTTCAAGAACAGTGAAGAATAAAAATTGGTTTCCTTGAGTGTTTCAAAAAGGGGGACAATAATTCCATTGTGAATTTACACCAGATTGCCTAACATGAGCTAAACAGCAATGAATTAACTCAAGAATGCTGCAGCTTAATCTAGAGAGAATGAACTGCTTAGAAGGTATGTTCTTAACACAATTTCTGCCACAGGCTGTAGCTATTTTCAAATCTTTTAAAATGTATTTCAGGTAGCATTCTTAGCACTTTAATGCAGGGCCATTTTCTTCAATGTTCTCTTCAGGGTGAATAGCTATCATCCTACAAAATGAGAATTCAGGCCACATGTCAAACTTTCAAGGAGGTACATTGGGAAGTGATAATGCCTAAAAGATAAATTGGAAAGATACCATACGTATTAGCTTGTGTAAATGCTGCTTTCAATTTGTGTAGCAGTCACTGTAGCACTTTCAGAACAAGATAATGAATTAAATGCAATTCTTGGCTGTCCCCTGAAGTCCTAATAAGGACCCAATAGTTGGATTCAAACTGATTTGAAACCTATCCTGGAACCATTCCATAGATGCTTGTTCTCATTCTATAACTGGGCCAAGAGAAGCTTTAATGTAGCTTAATTTCTACTCTCTTTAAAGCGCTGACAAGATTGGCTCTTGAATTACAGCAAAACCTTATGTGTTTCTTTGCTTATAAAGAACTTGCCAAATGCCAAGGCTTGTCCTTGGTTTTAATTTCTTAGATGGGATGGTGTTTATACTTTAACCGAAAGAGGTATTGTTATTATCTTACTTTTTTTTTTTCTGTTAATCAAGGTATTAATGGCAATATAAGTTAGCTTTTTTGTTAGTTTTTAGTTGGCCTTTAGGATATTTGGTTTTTTGTTTGTTTGTTTGTTTGTTTTTTGGCAGAGTCTCCCTCTGTCGCCCAGGCTGGAGTGCAGTGGCGTGATCTCGGCTCACTGCAAGCTCCACCTCCCGGGTTCACGCCATTCTCCTGCCTCAGCCTCCCGAATAGCTGGGACTACAGGTGCCCGCCACCACGCCTGGCTAATTTTTTTGTATTTTCAGTAGCGTTAGCCAGGATGGGCTTGATCTCCTGACCTCGTGATCCGCCCACCTCAGCCTTCCAAAGTGATGGGATTACAGGCGTGAGCCACCGCACCCAGCCTAAGATATTTGGTTTTAATTAAAGCACTTCAATCATTCAACATGGCCTCACCAAACAGTGTCTGGGCTCCTATGAAGATAAATGGTTAAGAGACATATTTTCCATCTCAAGGAGCTCAAAATAAATTTGGATGGGGGTAGTGGACAGTAAAATTAAAACATTTGGATATGAATGTGAAATAAGCAACTCAAATTTTATCATGTGAATTTCATTGTTAGGTGGGCAGAAAATGTTGGGTTTTTTTTTAACCTTCCCATATTAGTTACTGCTGGGAGGGTATTGGAAAAGGGTTTGCCATGAGGAAAAATTGTGAGGGCAAGTTAAGAAGTGCTTATCATTTTTTGGAATATGTAAGCTGATATTTTCTAAATTCAATTTATATTTTGAGTCATGCTTTGCGGGGCTTTTCCAAAACTGGTTCAACAACCAGTCAATCAAAAAAGATTCATTAAAGTATTTCCCTTCAAGGCACTGTTTATAAATAATTAAGCAGATAGCATCGTTTAGGTCTGAATGGTGTACAGAGAGAGTGAGTCCATGGAGTCCAGGTTTTCTAGAGGAAGAAGCAGGATGCCCCAGAGCTTCCTCATTCACATCTAAGTGGTCAGAGAAATTTCCTTTCCAAGAAAGTATACAGGATATTGCTTTATTTTTGCTTGAAGCTCTCACTGACCCTGAGGACCACAGACTCACACTCCTTTGTATCTAATCCAGACTCCACATCCTAGTAACTTTGGTTGTCTTGCCAACTGTTTCCAGGTTGTTCCAGCCAATGGCTCAGGCTCTTGGTGAGTTTTCTAGTATCGAATCTGTATGGAAAGTTCCCCTCACATGTACTACAGTTTTGTTTGCCTTCAAATATTCAGGATGTCTCACTCTTCAAAATACAAAATAGGCTTGAGACTTGACAATTTTAGACTCATGAGCATGGTCTCCGATAGGTGAATCTTCCTTTTGACCACTGATGCTGACTGAGTGGCCCCAACAAGTTGTGCCAAGCCACCACCAACCATAGCATAGAGGCTCAGAGTCCCATACCTGAAATTTTCAGAGTGGGAGGGAAAGTGCAGCCAGCCTCATTTACCAGAGGCGCTGGCATGTTCTTTTTTGTGTGGCTTCTGTGAAATTACAGAAAATCAGATAGCTTTCTTTCTAGTGCGGTTTTTACAACCAAATGCTCATGACAGTATAAACCCAGAGCTTTTCTGGACTTAAAGAAAAGGAGTAATCTTAAGAAGAAAGAAAATTCTTGCCTCTGGAAAAATGGGGTTAAAAAAAGGGATGATATCTGAATAGTAGAAAATGTATTATTTTATTCAACAGGAAGGAAGATAAAACATTCTTACGTACCTAACAATCTTCTAAAAGTCTACCTTCACTTTGTTTTCTTCTGTACTAAGTGCTGCTTGTGGTTTGGACATTGCTTTTTAAAACAATATTAAATAAAATACCCCTTAAAAGAAAATGCATGCCCTTGTATTAAGAAAAGATACAGGTTTTTGCATTCTATAGAAAGGAACTTGGCAGTGCTAGAGTCCATTTAACAACAGCGGAGTTGGTAAGGAGAAGCTGGGGTCAAGCATCACATTTTCCACAGAGTATTAAGAATGGGGCTATAGCAGGTAGTAAGCAGGAATTCAGGCATGGAAGCACCAAGATTCTCAGAGGGAGATGCAGCATACTGAAATCAAGTAGCAGGGCTGAGTTAATAATCTGATGGGATTCTGGTATCATGAAAAAGAATAGGGCCATCAGGCAAAGTGGCTCCTAAAGTTTTATGGAACAAACTTTTTAGTATTAATCAGCTTTCACTGATCCAATCTACTTGTAAGCAGATAAACCAGTGGTGTCTTCAGAGTAACTCAGGCTTCTGAGGCACACACTGTGCTAGAATTTCATTATATGAGGATATTAAAAGAAGCATGCCCATTAAAAACTAGCCCAAGAAGCCTACTTACCTAAAATACACTCTGTGGTTCTCAGAGTCTATCACATACATGAGAAAGAATTCTTCCAAAAAAAGTTTTAAACTTGCTGTCTATCCCAAAGTATGAACATCCTATATCATTTATCCTTCTCTCTTAAATTACCTATCAAACAACAAATAAAGCCATGTGCAAAGGTTTTGGGAGAGTCCCAAGTGAGGGCTACTGTGAAGATAAATGGTTAATGTCTGCTCTCCCAGCTGCTCAGTTAATTACTGTAATAGAAAACATCTTGAGGGAAAACACTGCATACAGTTATTAGCAATTAACCCACAACTCTTAAAAAATCACAATTCTTACTAATAATAGAACATTGCCCAGCCAGCCTAATTATAATTTCTACACAAGAGCCTTCTGTTTTCAGAAAATGTGAAATATTATAAGTCACTACTATTTAAAATGCAAATAGGAAATCAGGAGGATGAAGATTACATTGAGAAATGCAAAATGGAGTAGCACAGATAGAAATGGGAGGAGGCATGATTTATGTGGTAATGAACTAATTCCTTGACAAGCAATAGATTCAGATATATTAGCGAAATAACTTTTTGCCGAGTGTTTACTACAGTACAGGACCTTGTGGTGTTAATGATTGGTGCTACAAAAGTGGTAAAGAAGTTAAGACACAGTGTAATGTGGAACAGGAGAATCCATGGTATGGATTTCAGATGTATATTGTTTTGTTTTTCTATGAATCATAGAATCTTCTTAGATATATCTCAATCTTGAAGCTCATTTTTTTCCTCCTATGTAGTTATGTTTCTTTTATTGTTCCTGTTTGCTCAGTGCTTACTAGTCTTCTTGTCCTCTCTGAAACACACCAAATTTATTTCTGTTTCAAAATTTTAAAACACTTGTTATTACTGCTGCCTGGAATATTTATTCCCCAGATTTGGCATGGCTGTTTTCTTCTAAGAATGCATGTATCTGCTCAGAGAAAGCTTCATCACATTACAAAACAGTCTGCTTTTCTCTTCTTTTTCTGTCCTATAACTTTACTTTGTTTTTCCACACATATACCACCATCTGATAGAATATCCCATTCTGCTACTTCGTAACTTATCAACATTAAGCTGTATTCATTAACTTTCTCCCTGTTTTGGATCTGCTATATCCCCACTTCCTAAACCTTCTTCCTCTCCTCTGTGCTTTCAATTATGTCTGTATGAATATTTGCATTATTTTATATGTGGAATATTGTTTACAGCTAAGCCAAATAATGTCTTAGAAGATGTATTTTCTCATATGAACTTTGATTTTTTCTATAGTTAATAATTGTCTTGTGTTTTCTCATATATAAGTAGTTCATTTTCCCCTCAAATGTTCCATGCACAGAAATAAATTCTGTGACTCCCAAACACACTAAATGACCTACCTCCTTTTATTATTTGGAGATATTCATCCTCTACTCCCTACTCATTCTCATTTAATGGAACACGTTTTAGTTCTGGCTCACTGCTTGGATTGTACAATTCCCTTTGCCAATTTCCTGCAAATTCCCTTTGCCTGTTTTCTGGTGTTCATATGTTCTTCTTTCTTAATTCACTTCCTCATTTTGCTGAGGCATTTCCTCCAGTAGCTTCCAGGAAAGGGTATGGTGGGGCTCAGTTTTTTTAGTTTTTATATGTCTGGAAAAGGTTTTACTTTTACCTTTGATTGATAGTTCAGCTGAGTATGGAATAGTAGGTTAAAAATTGTTTCTCTCTATATTTTGAAGTTATTGCTTCCCTATTCTATATCATTTTGATGTTTCTTTTCCAAAAGCCCAATGATATTCTGAATGATATCTTTTGTATGTGTGCTACCTTTGCCCCTTTTAGAATTTTCTTTATGTCCTGTCTGTTCTGAAATTTCATGATGAGGTGAGTCTTGTTGTCCCAGGTACTCTGTGGGCCCTTTCAGTTTAGAGATATGTCTTTCAGTTCTTGAAGTATTTCTTTGATAATTTCCTTATTTTGTTTTCTCCTTTCCTCTCTTTCTAGTTCTCCTAGATTAATGTACTGATTTCATTTCCTTTTCTTTTCTATTTTCTCTCTCTCTTCTGAGAGATTTTCTTGATTTATTTCTTACCTTTCTGTTGAATATTTTTTTCACTGTAGTTATCTTGTTTTTAATGTCAAATACCTATCTCTCATTTACTTAATGTTCCTTTTTCATAGCTAAACAATTTTGTTTATGTAAATGTAAAGTATCCTCTTGTCCTTCTGAAGATAATTGGGGTAAGGAGAATGCATTTCTTTTCTCACATTCTTTATATCTGTTCTTTACATGCAGGTCTCTATAAACTGGAAACTTTCTTCATGTCTGGTGATTCTTGGCTGATTATATTTAAGAGTAAGCACTAAAAAGATTATATTCAAAGGAAGCTGCTTTGTGGATGAGAGTAGTCAAGTGGTGGACTTCACTTGAAGGTTATCAGTTACTGGTCCTTTCATTGGGATCTTCAGAAGACAATCCTCCAACCTCCCTCATGGTGCAAGACATATACTTAGATACAAGTTTTCTGGGAAACACACGTGAGATGAGCCGTGAGAGCCCCTCAGTTCATTCTGCAGACTTTTACCTAATTCTCTTGTGCTCAGCCCTCTGATTCATCTCTGTCAAAGCTGGACCCCTGCAGCTCAGTTTCTCCAGAGAACATATCCCCTGTCTCCTGAGAGGCAGAAGGAGAAGAGAACATCAGGGAGTCAACTACTCTATGTATTTTACAGCCAGATCCCTCATTTTAGGCTCCCACATCAATGTCATCTTCCAGGATGCTTATTGCCTTCAAGCACTAAGTCCCTCAGCCATCTTCTCTGGTGGGTGGACTCACTTCTCTTCTTACAGACATTGCCTTCTGGAGGTACTAACCCTGTAACTTTTGTGACTTCTATCTGTGAAGGCAGTTAGGAATCCTGCATCAGGCTTCTATCTTCCAAACTATTTTGAAACAGTTGGTAGTGTTTTCTCCTCTTCCGTTTGACTTGGTTGGATGAGAACCTAAAACATTTCTTTAATCTTCAGTTAGTGAGGTTTAGGAGGTAGAAAAGATAAAACTGTGTGGTCGATTTACTGTGTTAAATTGGAACTCTATGTTTTGTTTTTTCTTTTAAGATTTAGCATCTATTTTTTAAACTATTTGCCATATTTCTCTAAAACAATGGTTTCAAACTTTTGTATGCATCATAATCACTTGAAGGGCTTGTCAAAACACAAACCCCCACCCTCAGACTGTCTGGTTCAGTAGTATTGGACGGGCCTGAGAATTATTTCTGACAAGTCCTGAGGCAATGCTGATGCTGCTGGTTTGGGGACCACACTTTGACAAATACCAGTTTATACAAATAGCCTTTTTGTTAAAATAACTCTAGTTCTGTTCTTTAATGTTCAGACATGTATGCCTACTGAACTCCTATTCATTCTTTATGACTCACCTCATATACAGCTTGAGGAAGAATTTCTTGACATATAGAAAGCATACGCTTCCCCAAAGTAACGCCTCAGTTATCTGCATTTTATACCTACTTCTCTCGTGTTACTAATCACATTGGACAAGTCACATGGCTGACTCGTCTGGGATAGAGTAAACTCTTTGAGCATGCAGCATCTGTCTTAGTATTTATTTAGATTCTTCTTCCTCCTCCTTCACCTTTCCTTCTTCTCAACTTCCTAGTCTCCTCCTCTTTCTTCTGCTTCTCTGTCTTTTTTATTTCTATTACCTAACTCTCTGCATGACACACAGAGGCATGATGAATGGAACTGAAGTTACGTTACTATGTGCAATCAATAGATAAGATATAAATTTGGAATGTTTTCCTTAAAAATTATGAATATCTTGATTTATTCAATAGTGTGTCATGTAACCAATGGCAAGTTCACTCTCAAAGTGAGGCATTTAGATTATAGAAGCTTTGCTCAAAGTGGCTGGTTTTTAAACTCTTCATTACCTGGTCCACAGAGTGATAAGGAGCTTACCTCAGAATCAAAGTCAATGGACTGCATACTCCATTGAAAAAATCTTGTCATAAGAGTCTGCTAAACTAATGTGCTTAGTGCTTTAGTCTGCTTTCATTCTGGCACAAGCTTCTCATCTTGTTGAGGACCAGTATAAAACACTTTGCAGTTTGCTACCGGTCTGCAGACTGTGCTTTTTTTTTTTTTTTTTTTTTTTAAAATAAAGAGATATAATTTACATACCACAAAATTTATCCTTTTAAAGTGCTTTTCAATATTTTCACGAAGTTGTGTGAAAATACTAATTCCAGAACCATCACCACTATCTAATTCCATAACATGTCATCACCCCCAAAAGAAACCCTGTACACATTAACAGTCACTCCCTATTTTTTCCTGCCCCCAGCCCCTCAAAACCACCAATTCACTTTCTGTCTCTATGAATTTGTCTATTCTAGACCTTTCATATACCATAGATTTATAAGTCACTATGTGGCCCATTTTGTCTGACCTCTTTTACTTAGCATAAGGTTTTCAAGGTTCACCCATGTTGTAGCATGTATCAGTACTTCATTCCTTTTTATTTATGGCTATGTAATATTCTACTGTATAGATGTACCACATTTTGTTTATCCATTCATCAATTGATGAACACTGAAGTTGTCTCCAATTTTTGGCTATTATAAATAATGCTGCTATGAACATTATTGTACAAGTCTTTGTGTGGACATGTTTTTAATTCTCTTGGCCTAGCAGTGAGATTGTTGGGTCATATGGCAACTTCATGTTTGATGTTTGGAAGAACTACCAAGCTATTTTTCAAGGTGGCAGTATCACAGCATTCTTACCAGCAATATATGAAGATTCCAATTTTCCATATCATTGCCAACATTTGTTGTTGTGCCTTTGATTGTATTATAGCATCACAGTAGGTGTGAAGTAGCATTTCATTATGGTTTTGAATGGCATTTCCCTAATGATTAATGATGTTGAGCCTCTTTTCACGTGTTTATTGACCTTTTATATATCTTCTAAAAGAAATGTCTATCTAAATCATTTTCCCATTTTTAAAAATTGTTGAGTTGTAAGTGCTCTTTACATATGCTGAATACTAATCTTTTCTCAGATATATGACATAAATATTTTATCCCTTTCTGTGAGTTGTCTTTTGACTTTCTTGATAGTATGCTGCCTATACTTTGGATACTATGCTCCATAGTTGTATAATAAGCTGAAGCTGCCTGTTTCATCTGCTGAACAAACACACAAACAAAACTATAGAAAATACTCCAGGTGCAAATGTGCACTATGTTTGTATGAAAATATAAAATAATGAACTTTCAAGCACCATCATTTTGGGCTTGTGAGTTACAGCCTAAGCCACAATCTGGGCTTACACATTTTTATAGTGGCAAAAATTCATTTTGTAAGATGATAGCTGCCATAAGTAGTGATTCTTCTGATGTATACAGGCAAAGAAAATGGAAAACCTTCTGGAAAGAATTCACCATTCTAGATATAATTAAGAACATTCATGATTCATGGGAGGAGGTCAAAATAGCAACATTAAAAGAAGTTTGGAAGCAGTTTATTCCAACCCTCATGGATGACTTTGAGGGGTTCAGGATTTCAGTGGAGGAAGGAACTGCAGATGTAGTGGAAATAGCAAGTGAACTAGAATTCAAAGTGGAATCTGAAGATGTGATTGAAATACTGAATTCTCACGATCAAACATTAAAGAGTTGGCATTTATAGATGAGCAATGAAAGTGATTTTATTCAGATGGAAACTACTCCTGATGACGATACTTTGAACATTGTTGAAATGACAACAAAAGATTTAGATTATTACATAGCTTAGTTGATGAGGCAGCCACAGCATCTGACAGAATTGACTCCACTTTGGAAAGAAGTTCTGCTCTAAGAAAATGCTGTCAAACAGCATTGCGTGCTACAGAAAAATCTTTTGTGAAAGAGTCAATCAATGGGGCAAACTTTATTGTTGTCTTATTTTAAGAAATGTCCACAGCCACCCCAACCTATAGCAATGACCACTCTAATCAGTCAGCTGTCACTAACATTGAGGCAAGAGCCTCCACCAGCAAAAAGAGTATGACTTGCTGAAGGCTCAGTTAATTGTTAGCATTTTTAGCAGTATTTTTAGATTAAAGTATGTACCTTTTTTTTAGACATAATGCTATTGCACACTTAATAGTCTACAGTATAGTGTAAATGTAATTTTTATATGTACTGGAAAACCAAAAAATTCATGTGATTCACTTTATTGGGGTATTCATATTATTCTGGTGGTCTGGAATTGAACTTGCAGTATCTCTTAGGTGTGTTTATAAAAGAAACTCAAACGACTCAATAGGAAGAAAACAAATAACCCATTTTTTAAAAATAGGCAAAGGACCTGAATAGGCATTTTCCCAAGAAGACATAAAAATGTCCAACAGATGTATGAAAAGTTACTCAATATCACTAATCATTAGATAAATTCAAATTACAACCACAATGAGATATCACCTCATACCTATTAGAATGACTATTATCAAAAAGGTAAAATATAACAAATATTGGAAAGGATATGGAGAAAAGAAAGCCTTTGCACACTGTTGGTAAATTAGTATAACCGTTATGGAAAAGTGTATGAAGTTTCCTCAAAAAGTTAAAAATAGAACTACCATATGTTCCAGCATACCACTTTTGGGTATATAGCCAGAATAATTAAAAGCAAGATCTCAAAGAGATATTTGAACACCCATGTTTATTGCAGCATTATTTACAATAGCCAAGAGGTGGAAACAACCCAAATGTTCATTGACAGATTAATGGATAAAGAAAATTTATATACATACAATGGAATATTATAAAGCCTTAAAAAGGAGGAAATCCTGTCAAATGCCACAATATGGATGAACCTCAAGGATATTATGCTAAGCAAAATAAGCCAGTCATAAAAGAACAAATACTCTATGATTCTATTCATATGAAGTATTTAAAATAGTGAACACAGAAACAGAAAATAGAAAGGCGGTTGCCAAGGGCTGGGAGGAAGGGAGAGGGAGAATTAGTATTTATGGATATAGAGTTTCAGTTTGCAAGATAAAAGAGTTCTAGAGATCTGTTGCACAACAATATACTTAACAGTAGTGAACTATACACTTAAAAATGGTTAAGATTATAAATTTAAAGTTACATACTTTTTACCCCATACACCCAAAAAAGCATTAGCTGTGCAAAGTACAGTTTCTAAAAAAATGTGTATTTGGGCTAATCTTCCAATTCTGTTCTAATAAATACATATAATTCCAGATCTGATCATTCCATTTAACTCAAATCTGATTGGTAAGTCTTTATGACCAATGAGTATTGGAGTGCTGAGAAATTATGTATAAATCACCAGCCATATATTTCATGAGTTTTATAAAGAATTTATTATTTTCCATAAAAAGAGAGAGAGAGAAAACTATGGATTTGGAGGGGCAAAATTTAGTGGCAGATTATGCCAAAGGGAGAACGATTATTCACATCTTGGTGGGACAGTCTCAGTTGGTTCCTGGGTGAATTTCGTTCTATTTTGTCTGACATCAAGATTTCAATGTGCATGTCTCATTAGTGCTTGTAGGCATTTTTATAATGGGAATTTATTACACTTTCAGGTGACAGAAGCTGCCCTTTAAAGAATTGCTTTCTGACGTCCTCCTTTTTCAACCTTCAACACCTGCTGAATGAAGTGGCCTGTACTCTTTTCCTGTCCCCATATAGACACTGGAAGTTTTTGTGTGCAGGAGAGCAGGACTGAAAAGCTTTGGCTGGAAGGTTTTTGTAGCAGCCTGCTTGTTGAATTGCCATGGATCAACAAATTAGAAGAAGATAGCTGAGAAGATAAAGTATTTGGTAGCTGTAAAGCTTCAAGCAGGAACTCAAGAAGATTTTTAGAACATCTGGTCGAAATTTATTTCTTTATAGGTAAGCATCCCCTTTTACAACCAGCATACATAAAGCATTAAATTGGCTTACCCCACCCCTTCCTAACAGGAGAGAAGCTGGTTAGATTTATTACTCCTTTGATACAGGTCTGGAGGGAGAGTGAAGTGGCATGTGGAACTCCCACTGAAGGACTCCCTCAAAATCTTTAGGACTCCTTTTAGATAGAATGTTTGTCTGCAATTTCTAACTCATTTTTAAGAATCTCTCTAGATTGAGATTGTGCAAGATCATTCACAAAAATAAAACTCAATTGATAATGTTTCTGGATTTTTTCTGTAATATTTATGTCCAAGCAAGGGATATCATCAACACAAAACTTTTTATTCTCTTATTTTTAAAATTGGTTTTTGTGTAACTGGCTCATTCTCTTGCTCGGTTAAATTTAAAATTTATTTTCCTTTGACAATAAAGGTGGAGTTAATTGTTTTGTCTGTGTCTGCCTTCATTTTGGGTGTCCATAACAACCTCCAAACACCAAACTGCATTGTTCTTTTAATATGGAAGATTATAACTAACAGGTTTCATAATACTTTTTTGTTTTAAAGATATAGCATACCCAACCAATCAAACCAAATAACCAGTTATTTCAAAATTGTATGAATATACTGCAGAAGGGGAGCTGATTTCAAATCAGTGTTTTCAAGTTCATGGCAAAATTTTAACACTTGTGTTAGAAAAGTATATTTCATTTAATGCTGTTGCTTACATGACATTGTGTTCATATTATTATCCATGCTAGAATAATTTGAAATAAATCTCACTTTCTGAAATGTACACTAATCATATTTATGCTGTAGCATCCTAAGTGCTTTAAATATTCATCTATAGTAAAAATGTGCTTTGAAACTAATGTATATAAAAGGAAACTTTTCTAATTTATGATTTTCAATGGGCTTAGTTACTTCCCATGTACCTAAGCTGTCCTTCACTAAACAACTATGCGATCAGATGATTTACATACATTCTTGTATTTCTATTATTCTTTAGCTTTTAAAATAGTTCTGAATATTAGCTGTGGCTTACATAAAATTTAGTCTTGTAATAAATGTGATCTATTATTTATGCAAGACTTTCAGCGATATTATGAAAGAGAATGTTTAGAAACTTTTTACATTCCAGGAGGGAATGAAATTGGTTGGGATACATCCAAGCAGAGTTAAAATTAGTTCAGAAGCAAATAAAAGCTTAGCAAGTCAAAGGAAATTTTGGGGTACAATTAATCTTTACTGTCATCTCTTGGTATGCTATACATTTTTATTAAAATAATTAAGATCAAACTGTATTGAAACAATCTGGAGTCTTTACATTTCATCCAAAAGACAAACAAAAAATCGAATCAATGGAGAGGATTATTATTATATTTTTTTACCTATAGCTATATCCAGATGGGGAGAAAAACAGCCCCACCTTATATAGTTAGTACCATCAGTTCAGAAGCCACCATTTTTGTGTGTTATCCAGTTTCTTTTCTTTCCTTGTTCCCCCACAGTGCCCTGACTGCCTTGGTCATTTCACTGTTCATTAGCATCTCACTAGAAGAGGGAAGAAAAAAAAGAGGAGGTGAAATTAAGCAATCAACTTTGTTACTTGTTAAAAAAGGTGGCCAAGAGGTTGAGTAGAAGTTAGAAGTAAGAGTTAAAAATATATTTTTAAATTGTCAACGTGTTTTCTCAGCCTATGCTAGGCCTGTTAATATCAGAACTAATTAGAGTTAGCCAAGTTACAATGCAACTCTACAGTAGATATAATCACCACTATCACCAAGTCCACTGTCTCTGGGGTTAGAGAAGGCCTGGTTGATGTATATCTGGCATTTAGAAAGAGAAGTCAGAATGAATCCTTTTTTTAAAAAAATGAAATAAGGGGGGTTAAGTAATGATTTCTATTGTGGAAAGCTCAAAAATTATGTTTGTTAAAGATGTTTGTCAAAGGATAAAGATGTCTAGTTACGTACTTGTACTTGTGGCTTTTCAGTTTACTAAATTAAACTTCAATTTTAAAAGGAGTAAAAGATACAGATATGTCTCAGAGAAATAGAAAATACTATAGGGTGGCATGAATTCCAAACTCTGAAGCTCAAGGAGAGCAAAGTCACAGAATGCTGAAGAATTCAGGAGTAGTTTGGTTTTATCTCACCTCCACCTTTTTTTCCTTTTCAGAGAAACGACAAAAGTTTGCTTCTCAATCCCTTCTGTAAAAGCCCAAATGGGCCGGGCGCGGTGGCTCCGCCTGTAATCCCAGCACTTTGGGAGGCCGAGGAGGGCAGATAACGAGGTCAGGAGACCATCCTGGCCAACATGGTGAAACTCCGTTTCTACTGAAAATACAAAAAATTAGCTGCGCGTGGTGGCGCGCGCCTGTAGTCCCAGCTACTCAGGAGGCTGAGGCAGGAGAATCGCTTGAACCCAGGAGGCGGAGATTGCAGTGAGCCGAGATCTCGCCATTGCACTCCAGCCTGGGCAACAGAGCCAAACTCCGTCAAAAAAAAAAACAAAAAACAAAAAAAAAACAAAGGGAACAAAGGCTCAAAACACTGAAACTAAGAGCCAGATGGTTATTTCAAATATTCAGGACAAGAGGGAGCCCACATAACCATTTGGGAAAGGTCCTTTTAGGGCTCCCAGAACTGAGGAAATCAGGTGGTACCACTTTAAGTACAGTATTTAACTATGAATGAGTCACTGGAGAGCCACTTTTGGTAAGTTTAGGAATCAAAGAAAAAAGTCGTCCCACTGCAGATTGATTTTTTTTTTTTTTTTTTTTTTTCAGGGATAAACAGCAGATTATGGCTTCGGAGCCTGGGCTGTCCTTTGTTGGAGGGCACGATGCACCATAGATTTTTATTTTCACGAAACAGACTCCAGAGGTTTGTGGCCTTCCAGACAACAGCTGGCACCGGGCAGAGGCACAGCCTACGGCCTGAGCTGCTGGCGACTGCATCGCGCTTGGCCGTGCGTCCCAGGCTGCGCTGGCCAGCACCGCAGCCAGAGAGCTTCCCGCTCCGAGCAGGAGCGGACGCTGTTCGTCTCTGGAGGGGCCATGGTGCTCGCGACTGGCTGTTCCTCCTTATATTTGGGGGAAAGGAGCTGGTTTGAAGGAAAGGAGGGATTAAGTTTGTAAAAGCGTTGGCTCCTCCTTATAACTCTGGTGCCTAAAGGGGGTGAGATGATAGCCAAATAAAACGAAGAGAGATGACCCCGTTTTGAGTGAGGAGGATTTCTGGATGAGCCGGCGATATGTCCTGCAACTGTCGATTTGGCAGATTTGACTCAATCAACTGACAATTGGTTCCCACTTCAAACACACCTCCCTCAGCCTAGTGCTCTAACCGACTCCCCAGACTCGGGGTGGGGACCAAGCAGAACAAGAGAATCAAAAGTCAGCCTTCTTTTGGTCTCTGCTCGTGCACAACTGGTTTGGTTCTGAGCAGGCTGATGTTTGAGAGGAAAAGCCAGGACTGCTTGGGCTCTTTGGCGGGATTTGAGTGTGTATGCTGGGAGGGGGGCGGGTAGGAAGAGGTGGGAGCAGAGTTAGGCTGAGTACTGAGCGAAGCCCCTTATTTTGCGTCCCAGCTGCCCTTCCAGCCCCCAGCGCCCAGCCCCCGCCGCGGCTGGGTGAAGAGGAGGGGTCGAGGAGGGCGCAGGGCGTGGGGGACGCCCAGCAGCGCCTCAAGCCCGTGGTGGCGGCGGGGCTGTCTCTTTAAGCGCTCCGGAGGGGCTGGGGCGGGAGGGCGGCGAGCGCGTTTCCATGGCACCGGGGCTGCGGGGGCTGCTGGGCCACTGGGCTCACTCGGTTTCAGTTGCTCCCGGCGGAGCAGGGGCATGCAGCTCAGCGGCCACCGAGCCTCTGGGGCTCGCCCGGCCGCTCCTCGCGCTCCCAGACGCCTGTGACGCCTGTTGGGGCCAAGCTGCTGCCGTTCCCTCCGCAGACAGACGCGCCGCGCCAGCCTCACGAGCCCTGCACCAACTTCTGCCCGACAAGCCCAACTTCTGCGCCGGGTTCGGACTTGCGGAGCCGGAACGGCGCACCGCGCGCAGCCCGGGCGGCGGCCAGGGCGGATCAGCCTCGCCGAGATGTCCTCGCGACTGTGGCTCTGGTGCTTCTGCCTGGGCGGTTGCCGGCTGGCCGCCAGGAAGCGCCCTACAGCTCCGGCTGGGCATGTAAGTGGCGCCCGCGCGCTCCGGAACGCTTGGAGAGAGCAGACAACAGTATGCCCCGCCCCACCTCGGACCTGGTGCGGACACCGCGGCCCGAGCCCGGGAAGGGATGGGGGGCAGGAGGTGGGGACAGACACCTGCGGGGGCTGCGGGCTGTCCCGGGCGGAGCGCGGCGGAACGCAGTCCCCAGCTAGTCCTTGGGGAGCGCCAGCCCGGGAGCGGAGACCGCGACCGGGGCGGGTGTGCTCTCCACCCGGTACTTCCTCAGCGCCTGACAGATTTTTGTCCCCCGCCCCCAGGTTTGGGTGTGTGCGCGCGTGGTATGTGTGTGTTTTCGTTATTTTTCTGTTTTAAGAGTAATTGGCTAATGACTACCACTTTGTGACAGGGTTGTGAATGAAATCCTGTCGAACACCGAGTTTGACATTTTTTTCTTTGTAGAGACCAATGAGTTCGTGCACATGTATTCTTTCTTTTTTTGGGGGAAGTATCGCCGAGTCGGACGGAGTGGTTTATTCCACAGGTTTGACCAGAGGCAAATCCTGGCTCGTCTGCCGAAGTGAGGAGCTGGGGAGATGAGTATATGAAGGATTGAGTGCTCGGCCACTTAGCTGCTAGTCCCCTTATTAGAGAACTGAAGAGTTAGTAGGAAGGTGACTCAAACGCATCGTCTCAGGATGGGCATGGTTTCATTCCGGATTAGAAATCATGAAAGCTAGGAGATAATTCTTGTCACCGTGTCAACCATTAGCGAGGAGCTCACGGGAAGTCTAAGTCTTTACAAATTGCCTAGTCCTCTTGACTGGCTGGAGAAGTTTCACCTGAATTCTGTAGCCTCAGCGGAATCATCATCGAACCACCTGAGAGAGAAAACAGATCTAATTCTGCTTTTCGATTTCTGCTCCTGGGCGGTTATGAATAGACACCAGAATATTTTGAACATGTAAACATTTTTGCCATTTTGCTCCTACTCTGCTTCACCTTTGCCTTTCTGAAATGTGAAT